>NC_000012.12:110641946-110793461 GCF_000001405.40 Homo sapiens | reverse complement strand
GGGGTGGTGGCACACCTATACTCTCAGCTACTCAAGTGACTGAGGCAGGAGAATTGCTTGAACCCGGGAGGCAGAGGCTGCAGTGAGCCGAGATAGTGCCACTGCACTGCAGCCTGAGTGATAGAGAGCATCTGTCTCAAAATATATATATATATATTATATATATATATATAGAGAGAGAGAGAGAGAGAGAGAGAGAGAGAAAGACCCCCAGCATACTGATCTACATCTTGATCTTAGTGGTGATTATGTAAGCATAGGTTAAACATGGGTAAAAATTCAGCAATTTGTACTTAAGAATTGGACACTTTCCTATATACTGTATATTATCATGTTTTAATTATCTATTTATTTATTTATTTTTGAGACAGAGTTTCACGCTTGTCACCCAGGCTGGAGTGCAATGGTGCGATCTTGGCTCACTGCAACCTCTGCCTCCCGGGTTCAAGCGATTCTCTTGCCTCAGCCTCCCGAGTAGCTGAAAAGGGCTGGTATTCAGCAAGTGTTTGATTGCCTTCCTCTATATCTGAACTTAAGGATTCATTCTATTATTTAAAATAAAAGCTACATCCAACTATTGATAGTGACTCTAGATATTATTATTATTTTTGAGATGGAGTCTTGCTCTGTCACCCAGGCTGGAGTGCAGTGGTGTAATATTGGCTCACTGCAACCTCAGTCTCCCAGGTTCAAGTGATTCTCGTGCCTCAGCCTCCCAAGTAGCTGGGATTACAGGTGTGAACCACCATGGCTGGCTAATGTTTGTATTTTCAGCAGAGACGGGGTTTCACCATGTTGGCCAGGCTGATCTCAAACTCCCGACCTCAGGTGATCCGCCCACCTCAGCCTCCCAAAGTGCTAGGATTACAGGCGTGAGCACTGCACCAGGCCTGTCTTAATTTTTTTAAAGGAAAAAAAGATATACCCCAAAAATGTGATTAGAGATTTTCTCCTGGGACAGTTGGGATCATGGGGAGCTTTTGACTTCCAATGTGTATCTAAATATTTTATAAGCACACAAATACAAATTCTTTTGAAATATAAATATTTTTAAATTCATATTTTGACTCTTCAAAAATTTTTTTTCTCTTTAAATATATATGACAAATCATTGTGGAGTTTTTTGGTATTCTGTTTCTTATTTGAGACAGGGTTTTGCTCTGTCACCCAGGCTGGACTGCAGAGGCAAGATCACGGCTCACTGTAGCCTCGACCTCCCAGGCTCAAGTGATCCTCCCACCTCAGCCTCCAAGTGGCTGGGACCACAGGCCCGTGTCACCATGTCCAACAAATTTTTGTATTTTGTGTAGAGATGGGGTTTTGTCATGTTGCCCAGGCTGGTCTCGAACTCTTAGTCTCAAGCAATCTTCCTGCCTCGGCCTCCACACCCAGCCTAGACTCTTTAAGTTTTTTAATATATTTTTTAGAGACATGGTCTCACTAGGTTGGTCAACTCCTGGGCTCAGGGGATCTGCCTGCCTTGGCCTCCCAAAGAGCTGGGATTACAAATGTGAGTCATAGTGCCCAGCCAAGACTCTTTAGCTTAGCACACAAAGCCTTCATTTCTTCAACTACTCCCACCCTTCATTCCAACCACATGAAACTACTTACCATTTCTCAGATAAGTCATGTTGTTTCATGCCTTCACGCCTTTACCTTTGCTGGTCTCTGAAACACCCTCTCTCACTTCCTCAAGTCCTCCCACCTACCTAACTTCTTCTAGTCCTTTACGCCTCAACTGAAGGATCGCCTCCTCCAGGAAGTCCTTCTTGACCTCCCCAGGCTGGATCAATTGCTCTTAGACACAATCACAATTGACTCTGTCATAGCACCTGACTCACTTGTCCATCTCACTCATCCAACCCTGAAGTCCTAGAGGTCAAGGATTGTGTCTGACTTATTGTGTCCCCATGCTTAGCACCAGGCCAGGCCCAGAAAAGGCATCAATACCTCAAGATGAATACATTTTAAAACTAGCAAAATGGCCAGGCATGGTGGCTCACACACGCCTGTAATCCCAGCATTTTGGGAGGCCAGTGGATCACCTGAGGTCAGGAGTTGAAGACCAGCCTGGCCAACATAGTGAAACCCCGTCTCTACTGAAAATACAAAAATTAGCCAGGCGTGGTAGTGCATGTCTGTAATCCTAGCTACTCTGGAGGCTGAGACATGAGAATCACTTGAACCAGGGAGGCGGAGGTTGTAGTGAGCCGAGATCGCACCACTGCACTCCAGCCTGGGCAACAGAGCGAGACTCTGTCTCAAAAAATAAAAATAATAAAACTAGCAAAATGTAGAAGTCAGATGATGCCAAGCATGGGTGGAAGGATGAGGCGCAGCAAGAAGGTTTATCCGTTGCTGATGGAAGGTTGAAAAATACCCCCCTCCAAACTGATCAGGCGTTAATCCCCAGAATCTGAGAATATTGCCTTATATGGCAAAGTATGTGATTAAGTTAAGGAGTTTACGTTGGTGGGATTATCCTGGATTATCTGGGTGGGCCCTAAATGTAATCACAAGTGTCCTTATAAAAGATGCAAAAGGAGATTTCACACACACAGAGGGGAAAGCCACGTGGGGACAAAGGCAGAGAATGCCTAGAGCCACCAGAAGCTGCAAAGTCCAAGGAAGGGCTCTCCCCTGAAGGCTGGAGAGACGGTCCTGCCCTCCTTGAATTCAGCCCAGTGACACTGATTTCAGATTTTTGGCTTCCAAAAGAAAGACAGCATACATTTCTGCTGATTGAAGCCACCAAGTTTGTAGTAATTCATTACAGCGGCTCAGGAAACTAACACAAATGGTACCTCTTTTCTGGAAAACAGTTTGGCAAAACTAAATTATAAAGTTGGTTATGTGCATGACAATGAGCCAGCTATTCCCCTTGAGATAAGCTCTGCAGAAATGCTTGCCCAAGTCAGCCAAGACACACATCCAGGAACATTCCTAGCAGCATTGTTTATAACAACAAAACCTAGAAACAAGTCTCTTCTCACCAAAAGGAGAAGGGATAAACTGTGGTCTCTGCACATAATGGAATGTTATATGGTGGGAGAAAGGAATAAACCATAGCTATTTGCAACAACAAGCATAAATCTCACATACTTGACATTAAGTGGGAGAAAGCAAGTCACAAAAAAAATGAATGGGATTATTCAGTTTATATAAGCTTGAAAACACGTACAGCTAAGCAATACATTGTTTGGGTATTTAAACTATAAAGAAAAGGGAAAAATAAGTAAAGTAAATTTCCAGATGGTAGTTCCTTGATAAAAGGAAGGGGCTGCAATTGAGGAAGGGAAGTGGAGAACACAGGTGGCCTACTAGTCCATTGTTTTTTGTTTTTTTGGTTTTTGAGACAGAGACTTCCCTGTCTCCCAGGCTGGAGTGCAGTGGCACCATCTCGGCTAATTGCAATCTCTGCCTCCCGGGTTCAAGCTATTCTCCTGCCTCAGCCTCCCAAGTGGCTGAGAAAACAGGCATGCACCACCACCATGCCCATGCCCAGCTAATTTTTTTTTTTTCCTTTTCTGAGACGGAGTCTTGCTCTGTCACCAGGCTGGAGTGCAATGGCACAATCTTGGCTCATTGCAACCTCTGCCTCCCGGGTTCAAGTGATTCTCCTGCCTCAGCCTCCCAAGTAGCTGGGAAAAAAAGCATGCACCACCATGCCCAGCTAATTTTTTTTTTTTTTTTTTTTTTTTTGAGATGGAGTCTTGCTCTGTCACCAGGCTGGAGTGCAATGGCACAATCTTGGCTCACTGCAACCTCTGCCTCCCAGGTTCAAGCGATTCTCCTTCCTCAGCCTCCCAAGTAGCTGGGATTACAGGCATGCGCCACCTCGCCCAGCTACTTTTTGTATTTTTAATAGAGACGGGGTTTCACCATGTTGGCCATGATGGTCTCGATCTCTTGACCTCATGATCTGCCAGCCTCAGCCTCCCAAAGTGCTGGGATTACAGATGTGAGCCACCGCGCCCGGCCTAATTTTTTGTATTTTTAGTAGAGATGGGGTTTCACCATGTTGGCCAGACTGGTCTTGAACTCCTGTCCTCAAGTGATCCGCCTGCCTCAGCCTCTCAAAGTACTGGGATGACAGGCATGAGCCACTGTGCCCAGCCATATTAGTCTATTCTTGCATTGCTAGGAAGAAATACCTGAGACTGGGTAATTTATAAAAAATCAAAATAAAAAAAGAGGTTTAATTGGCTCACAGTTCTGCAGGCTGTACAGGAAGCATGATTGTTGGGGATTACAACTGAACATGAGATTTGGATGGATACATGGATCCGAATTATATCCAATCATTATCTTCTGGGCGAAGGGACCATATATTTTGTTACCTCACTGGCCCACCTTTGCAGACAAAAAGGGAGGCTGTTAGTAATGATCATGGCAGAAAACAGGTGCAAACCAAAACTGTCCCAGGCAAACCCAGAGCATTGGATCATCCCACTTGATTTAATGGCCTGGCTGGTGTGGGCATGGGTATTTGTTTTATTGGTGCTTTTTAAAGTGGACGTATAGGACCGAGCACAGTGGCTCACGCCTGTAATCCAATCACTTTGGGAGGCCAAGGCAGGTGGATCACTTGAGGTCAGGTGTCTGAGACCAGCCTGGGCAACATGGTGAAACCTCATCTCTACTAAAAATACAAAAATTAACCAGGCGTGGTCGTGCACACCTGTGATCCCAGCTACTTGGGAGGCTAAGGCAGGAAAATCACTTGAACTGGGGAGGCAGAGGTTGTGGTGAGCCGAGATCACACCACTGCACTCCAGCCTGGGCGACAAGAGCCAGACCCTGGCTCAAAAAAATAAAAAAAAGTAAAAATAGATAAAGTGTATATATACATTTTCTATGTCTTATATACTTCATAGACTTTTTTTCAACCAATAAATGAATAAGGTGGTATGACATTATGATATAGATGTTGGTTTTTGTCCATGGTTGCTGACTCAGAATTCCCATAGCCTTTTTTTTTTTTTTTTTTCTGAGATGTAATCTCACTCTGGTTGCCCAGGCTGGAGTGCAATGGCACAATCTCAGCTCACTACAACCTCCAACTCCCGGGTTTAAGCGATTCTCCTGCCTCAGCCTCCTGAGTAGCTGGGATTACAGGCATGTGCCACCACACCCAGCTAATTTTTGTATTATTAGTAGAGACAGGGTTTCTCCATGTTGGTCAGGCTGGTCTCAAACTCCTGACCTCAGGTGATCCGCCCACCTCTGCCTCTCAAAGTGCTGGGATTACAGGCGTGAGCCAACGTGCCTGGCCCCCATAGCCTTTTTTGTAACATTGGGGTGCTTTAGGCCTCAGAAGCCAGCCTCAGAAACAGAATCTCTATCTGACCTTCTCCCCTTCTTTCACCTGCTCCATTCTCTCCCCAAAGCAGAAATCTTCCCCCACCTTTCTATCTCGGAGCTGACCATAAGGAAATTCTCTGACCTACCTTGTCTGATAGTAAAATCATAAGACCCTCATTTCAGAAGGGGTCCTGCCCCATAACGCAGAGGAAAGAAGGCTGCACAGAGAGGCCAAGAAGAATCTGAACAGACAGGCTTGCTGGGTTTCCCCCCTCAGTCTACTAGCATTAGACCATTTGCCCTTTTTGTCCAGTCACCTTTCTACACAGTTGTCGGTCATGTCTATCCCATAAAATCTTCATAAAAGGGCCGGCTGCGTGTGCTAGCCTGTAATCCCAACACTTTGGTAGGCCGAGGAGGGCAGATTATCTGAGGTCAGGAGTTCAAGGCCAGCCTGGCCAACATGGCGAAACCCCGTCTCTACTAAAAATACAAAATTTAGCCAGGCATAGTGGCATGTGCCTGTAATCCCAGGTACTCGGGAGGCTGAGGCAGGAGAATCGCTTGAGCCTGGGAGGCAGAGGCTACGGTGAGCCAAGATCGTGCCACTGCACTCCAGCCTGAGCAACAGAGCGATACTCCATCAAAAAAAAAAAGGCCCAACAGGATAGGGTTTGTAGAGCTTCTGGACAGCCGTGCATGTGGGGGTTCCCAGGGAATGGTGTTCTCTCCCAAAGGCTGTTGGAGGGCAGGGAAGCTCCATGCCCTTTCTCCCTTACCTCAACATATGCATCTCTTCATCTGTATACTTTGTAAAATCCTTTATAATAAGCCAGTAAATGTATTTCCCTGAGTTCTGTGAGCCACTCTAGCAAATTAATCAAACCCAAAAAGGAGGTCATGGGAACCCCATCTTGAAGTAGGTCAGTAGAAGTTCTGGACGCTGGGACTTGCGATTGGTGTTTGAAGGTGGGGGGCAGTCCTGGGGACTGAGCCCCCAACCTGACACCTGGATCTGACACCACCTGCAAGGACATAGTGTCAGAAATGAATTGGAGGATGCTCAGTTGGTGTCCACTGCAGACTCGATTGCTTGCTTGGTGGTGGAGAGAAACCCCTATGCATATGGTCACAGAAGTCGCCTGTGATTGTTGCAGTTGAAGAGTGAGAGCAGAGGAAAAAACTGAAAATGAAAAAATTGAAAATTGAAAAACTTTTCAATTTTTTCCTCACTCTCAGAGGTGGGTACCCGTATCAGCTCAGGGTTTTTGTTGTTGTTGTTTGTTTTGTTTTGTTTTGAGATTGACTCTCACTCTGTCACCCAGGCTGGAGTGCATTGGCACGACCTCGGCTCACTGCAACCTCTGCTTCCCGGGTTCAAGAGATTCTTCTGCCTCAGCCTCCTCAATAGCTGGTGCCCACCACCACACCCACCTAATTTTTATATTTTTAGTAGAGATGGGGTTTCACCATGTTGGCCAGACTGGTCTTGAACTCCTGACCTCAAGTGATCTGACCACCTTGGCCTCCCAAAGTACTGGGATTACAGGCGTGAGCCACCACACCCGGCCTCTTCAGGGTTTTTAGTAGCAACTCCAGACATATAAGCAGACTCGCTAAATTCAGCAGAAAAGAAATTCAACACGGAGAGCCATGAGCTCCCACAATTGCCTGGAAGGCACACACAGAAGACAGACACACAGTGGGAAACACACTCAGAAACCTGCCTGGGACCAGGCTGCTAAGAACCCCCCAGCTTGTGTCTCTGAACGCTGCCAGCCCACTGACTGCTACTGCTGACCCTGGAACATGGACAGTCCTGCCACTTCCACCCCACCTTCCATCCCTCACCCCAAATTTCTCTTTGTCCCTTTCTCTGACCACCCCGGGGTCCAAATCCTCTGTGGATGGGCCAGGCCCAGTGGCTCATGCCTGTAATCCTAGCATTTGGGGAGGCCAAGGCAGGAGGAGCATTGCTTGAGCCCAGGAGTTCGAGACCAGCCTGGGCAATATAGCAAGACCCCACTCAAAAAAAAAATCATCGGTGGGTGCAGCTGATTAGTCGGTTACAACGGATGCTGGGAAAGGGTGTACAGGCAACCCGGCTTCCTTGAGGTGTGCTCTGCCTGTCCCCCTGAGAGCCATCAACCAGAGAAGTCACAAATTCAGCATGGGGAGACAATCGCTGAGCAGCGGAAACATGGAAAGCCCACAGTGTTTACTTTGCCAGGTATGTCAGAGACTAGGGGCAGGCACCAAAGTGGATCCTAAAGTCCTAAAGGATCTTTTTTTTTTTTTTTTTTTTCTAAGAAAGGGTCTTGCTCTGTTGCCTAGCTGGAGTGCAGTGGTGTGATCATAGCTCATTGCAGCCTCAGCTCCTGGGCTCAAGCGATCCTCCTGCCTCAGCCTCCAGAATAGCTGGGACTACAGGCACACACCACCACGCCTGGCTAATTTTTGTATTTTTTGTAGAGATGGGGTCTCACTGTGTTGCCCAGGCTGGTCTCAAACTCCTGGGCTCAAGCCTCAGGAAGCTGAAGCCTCAAACTAGTACCTCAGCCTCCCGAAGCACCGGAAATAGAGGTATGAGCCGCTGCGACCGTCCCTAAAGGATCTTACCTGCCAGCTCACACTCCCTTCCCCAGATGAAGCCTCTGGACCAGATGGGCCCCTGACTGGGGCAGCCATGGCCACCTGATCCAAAGCCATCAACCCATTGGCTGGCCAGTAGCCAAGTAGAGCCTCTCCCACGAGCAGAGGCTCTCAAGCTTTCTCCATTCCTGGTGTCCTTAGAAGGTCAGGGTTTTCAGCCAGGCATGATGGCTCATGCTTGTAATCCCAGCACTTTGGGAGGCCAAGGCGGGTGGATCACTTGAGGTCAGGAGTTCAAGACCAGCCTGGCCAACATGGTGAAACCCTGTTTCTACTAAAAGTACAAAAAAATTAGCTGTGCATGGTGGCATGTGCCTGTAATCTGAGCTACTCGGGAGGCTGAGGCAGGAGAATCACATCGCTTGGACTTGGGAGGACGAAGGATGCAGTGAGCCGAAATCATGCCATTGCACTCCAGCCTGGATGACAGGGTGAGACTCTGTCTCAAAATAATAATAATAAATAAATAATAGTCAGGGTTTCAGCCAGGTGCAGTGGCTCACACCTGTAATTCTAGCACTTTAGGAGACTGAGGTGGTGGATTACTTGAGGTCAGGAGTTAAAGACCAACCTGGCCAACACGTGAAACCCATCTCTACCAAAAATACAAAAATCAGCCGAGTGCGGTGGTGCATGCCTGTAATCCCAGCTACTCGGGAGGCTGAGGCAGGAGAATCGCTTGAACCCAGAAGGCAGAGACTGCAGTGAGCTGAGATTGTGCCACTGCACTCCAGCATGGGTGACGGGTGACAGAGCGAGATTCTGTCTCCAAAAAAAAAAAAAATGGAATCTTAGGGTTTTCTTTTTTTTTTTTCAGGGTAGCCTTAGGCCAAAAGAAATACCTAACAGTTCCACTTGTTAAGTAGTTACATCAAGCAACTTAATAACTATTTGTGGCCTAACAACTTAGCAGCCTTTTGAAAAGATAAATTGAAAGAAAAAATATTTTTCATTCATTCTGAAATATCCACACTTGCTGTCGAATGGAAAGTGTGTGTCTGTTGGGCACTGCACAAATTCTCGAACCTTGGAATCAGATCAGGGCACTGCCTCATTTCCTGTTCCATGCTGATTTTCGGCTACTAATTGCTTTTTATTACAGCAATCACAGAAAGCCCAGCTTGCGAAAAGATGACATTGTGGAAAGGGATGTAGTGCGGTCTAACGCTGAAACTGTAAGCTCCTTCAGCCAGTAGTTTGGGAAGCATCTGAGAGATGTGAACTTTCACTGTATTTGCTTTGAAAATGTAAATATCCCCTGCTGAACCTGTGAGTTTGTGGGGAACCCCAGCGCCTTGGTCCACAATTTGAAAATTGCTGCTTTCAGGGTGTAAACTGAGAGACAAAGGCAGTAGCTGGCCAAACAATGATGGAATCAGGGAAGAGATGGGTGGTTTCAGCCTGAGGCATGCTGACGACCAGGGAAAAACCTATCTGCAGAGAGAAGAGGGGGAATCAAAATAAAGATGAGAAGCCAGGAAGTCCTAGAAGGAAAAAAAAAAATGCAATTATCTTATGCGGTATTTACTGCAACTGGATTGCACAATCTGGCCCCTGAATCCATTTCTCTCTTTTTTTTAATTTTTGTTTTTTGTTTTTTGAGACGGAGTCTCTCTGTCGCCCAGCCTGGAGTGCAGTGGCGTGATCTTGGCTCACTGCAACCTCTGCCTCCAGGGTTCAAGCGATTCTCCGGCTTCAGCCTCCCGAGTAGCTGGGACTACAGGCACGCACCACCACACCCAGCTAATTTTTTGTATTTTTAGTAGAGACGGGGTTTCACCATGTTGGCCAGGCTGGTCTTGAGCTCGAGACCAGCCTCAGCCTCCCAAAGTTCTGGGATTACAGTCGTGAGCCACTGCGCCTGGCCCTGAATCCATTTCTCATGTCGAATTTATGGTTGGTGGCCCTAAATGAGTGCCTCCCACACCTTTTCCCAGATCCAGGAAATAGTGGCAACTCCATCCTTCCAATTGCTCAGGCCAAAACTTTGGATCCTCCCAGACTCTTTTTTCTCCCATTCCATGCCCAATTCCTTACCGAATTTTGTCATCTCTGCCTCCAACACACAGCAGTCCCCCGTTATCCTCAGGGGACATGCTCCAAGACTCCCTGTGGATGCCGGAAGCTGAGGACGGTCCTTGAAGCCTGCATAGACTATGTTTTTTTGATCTGATAACTGAGACAGCTACCAAGTGACACAAAAGGATGTTTCACGTCCCAAAACGGAGGACAGGCAGGATTCCATTATGCTACTCAGAACGGCACTCAATTTAAAACTTACAAATTATTTATTTCTGGAATTTTTCTATTTTATGATTTTCTGACTGCGGTTGACCATGGGTAACTGAAACCACGGAAAGTGAAACCATAGAGAAGCGGGGGACGACTGTAGATCTAAAATCTGACCACTTCTCCCCATCTCCAAGTTACTGGTCCATCACTTCTCACCTGGGCAAGGCAGTTCTGGGGTCCAAACTCTCAGATGAACCCATCTCACTCAGAATAAAAGCCAAAGCCCGTAACATTGCCACAGGGCCCTATGGGAATAAGCCTCAGCCTCCTCTGATCACACAACCCCTTGCTCCGCTTTCACTCACACTATTCCAGCCACACAGGCCTCCTTGCTGTTCTTTTGTCTCTTTTTTTTTTTGACAGAGAACTGGAAAAGTGATTCTCGTGTCTCAGCCTCCCAGGTAGCTGGGATTAGAGGCATGCCCCACCACACCCAGCTAATTTCTGTATTTTTAGTAAATACGGGGTTTCGCCATATTGGCCAGGCTGATCTCGAACTCCTGAACTCAGGTGATCTGCCGGCCCCAGCCTGCCCAAGTGTTGGGATTCCAGACATGAGCCACCGTGCCCGGCACTTTTCTGTTCTTAAAACATGACAGGCACCTGCCCTTGGGGCCTCTGCACTGGCTGTTCTCTCTGCCTACCACCTCATCCCCCAGATACCTTCATGGCTCACTCCCTCATTTCCCTCAGTCTTTGCTCAAATGTCACTTTACCTGTGTGTCCTCCTCTGACCACCTGTATAAAATAAAATCAGCCCCCTGCACCTCTCTGCACTCCCTGGTCCCTCACCTTTGGGAGGGAGTACTGAGTTGCAGGACCTAATGAGACAGTCAAGTGTAAGGGGGTCCCCAAAAAAAACTCCAACTAGCCTGCCCACTGGGAGGAGTGTGCACTGGGGTGGAGCCACAGAAACTGCCACCATTTGCAGCGGGGAGGAGCCTGGCCCCTCCTGTTCCTGGGTGGAACCTGGGATTCAATTTGTGAGGCAGGAAGCATGTCAGGAGAACTCTGACCTTGCGGAGGGTCTCTGTTTCCCTTTTTTCCGTTTCACCCAATAAACCCTGCCTTCCTCACCCTTCAAATTGTCTGCAAGCCTAATTTTTTGTGGCCGTGTGACAATGATCCAGCTCTTAGCTGAACTACAGAGAGAGTCCTACAACATCTTTAAAAATCCTACAACACTGACATTGACACTTTCATTTTTTTGAAACAAATATTTCCTGAGCAACTACTATGTGCCAGACATTGAGCTGGGCACTGAAGGAAAAATGGCT
The DNA here is from genome assembly GCF_000001405.40 of Homo sapiens. Classification (NCBI taxonomy): domain Eukaryota; kingdom Metazoa; phylum Chordata; class Mammalia; order Primates; family Hominidae; genus Homo; species Homo sapiens. Next base: position 110,781,936 of record NC_000012.12, on the reverse strand, counting down.
CCTTCAGTTTGAAGCCGACTGCCTCTAATCGCCCAAAGTTGATGTCTTAGATCACACTCCCCAGATAACCATGCTTCCTTCCTCCCCGCTACTGGGATAGTGTAATTTAGAACTGCCTGGAAATCCTGAGTAAAATCGCCTAGAGAAGTCCCCATTGCAGGCCCCCGCAGGTCCCGTCACCATGCCTTGCCCTGCACATCCAGTCACCACTCAGGATTGTGGGTGGCAAGGATGGCCCAGGGAAGACTTCAGCTCCTTTAGCCTGTGCACAGGCTGTCAGAGAAATCCCAGGGGCTGGGCTTCTGGGACCTAGAGGAAGATCCCATGGCCAGGCTATTGGAATAACTTGGTTTTGAACTTTACTTTTTCTTTTCTTTTTTTTTTTTTTTGAGACAGAGTCTGGCTCTTTCGCCCAGGCTGGAGTGCAATGGTGAGATCTCGGCTCACTGTAACCTCTGCCTCCTTGGTTCAAGCAATTCTCCTGCCTCAGCCCCTGAGTAGCTGAGATTACAGGCGCCTGCCACCATGCCTGGCTCATTTTTGTATTTCAGTAGAGACAGGGTTTCACCATGTTGGCCAGGCTGGTCTTGAACTCCTGATGTCAGGTGATCCATCTGCCTCGGCCTCTCAAATTGCTGGGATTACAGGTGTGAGCCACTGTGCCTGGCCTCAAACTTTTCTTTTCTTTCTTTCTTTCTTTCTTTTTTTTTTTTTTTTTTTTTTTTTTTGAGACAGAGTCTCACTCTGTTACCCAGGTTGGATGCAGTGGCACGGCTCACAGCAGCCTCAACCTTCTGGGCTCAGGTCATCCTGCCACTTCAGCCTCCCAAGTAGCTGGGACCACAGGCATACACCAAAACACCTGGCTAATTTTTGTATTTTTTGTAGAGACAGGGTTTTGCTATGTTGGCCAGGCTGTTCTTGAACTCCTGGGCTCAAGCGATCCTCCCGCCTCAGCCTCCTAAAGTGCTAGAATTACAGGCATGAGCCACCACATCCAGCTGATTTCTGACTTTTCTAACTTACATATTTACATGTATGGTATGTGGCCTCCATTTATACTCTTATCCCAGACCATGCTGATATATCAGGCAAGTTCTAGATTCTGGTATAGGAATGGCAAATACATGGCAAGCCCACTGTGACTGCCCCCTCCCTGATTGTGGCAGACATCAGCAATGGATCATAGCACTCTTTCTCCCGGAGATGCAGCCTCAGAACTGTCTCTCACACAGCCCCGCCAGCAGCCACTCCTCATCACCCATCCACACAGGAGGTGCAAGGGGATTTCCTTCCTTGTTCTAGCATTTTCTACATGGCAGCCTGCTCTGCAGCCCACAACATCCAGCAAGAGGCCTCAGTCTTGCCCGGAAACTTTTTTCTCCTCTTGAAAAGAAACCGCTGATGCTAGATGTTAGTGGAAAGTAGATAAACAACACTTGAATACTGTCTTTGGTGTGGCTCAGAAAGTTCTGATGTTATAAGAAGAAAAAAATGAACAAAATAATTTTCCATTTGGGGAGTAATTACTTATATTAAAAACATTTTTTAAACCCACTCTTTCCTCTGAAGAGATGAATGTTTTGCATTAAGGCCTAACACATTCTGACTCTCAGGATTTTTTTGGCAGAACAGAAAATCCTGATGGCTTTTTTTTTTTTTAAGAGACAAGGTCTCACTATGTTGCCCAGGCTAGTCTCGAACTCCTTGGCTGAAGTGATCCACATGCCTCAGCCTCCCAAATTGCTGGGATTACAGGCATGAGCCACCTCGCCAAGCCCCTCCAGGCTCTTTTCGTTTAAACAATTTATTTTCCTTCTCTGTGTGGATCTCTGTTTCTGCGCCTTTTTCTTTCTGTCTCTATTTCTTTTATCTCTCTGTGTATCTCTGTGAGTGCATTTGTCTTTCTCAGTCTCAATCTCTTCATCTCTTCCTCTGTCACTCTCTTCCTCAAAGGGCTGGCAGTCCATCTCTTTACGTGAATCTCTCTCATGGAGTGTTTGTGGGTGTGTCTCTGACTTTCTATTATTATTATTATTATTTAGAGATGGGTTCTCACTCTGTCACCCGGGCTGGAATGCAGTGGCACGATCTTGGCTCACTGCAGCCTCAATCTCCTGGGCTCTAGTTATCCTCCCGCCTCAGCCTCCCAAGTAGCTGGGACTACAGGCGCCGGCCATCATGTCTGGCTAATTTTTGTATTTTTTGTAGAGACAGGGTTTCGTCGTGTTGCCCAGGCTGGTCTTGAACTCCGGATCTCAAGTGATCTGCCTGCCTCGGCCTCCCAAAGTGCTGGGATTACAGGTGTGAGCCACCGTGCCCAGCTGTCTCTGACTTTCTTTGTCTCCATCTCTGTATGTGGATCCCTCATTCTCAATCTTTGTCTATTTCTCTCTTACGCTGTATGTTGTATATGACCGACTTTCTCTATGTGACTCTATATCATCTAGCTTTCTTTTTCTGTCTGTCTCTCTCTCTGTGAAGTTTATCTTTCTGTCTCTGTGTTTCCCTATCCCTCCATGTCAGTTTCTCTTGATTTTCCTCTCCCTTTCTCCATTTCTCTCTGTCTCTCTCTCTCTCTGCTCTTTTCCCTCCCCTGACCCCTTGCCTCCAATCCACCCCCATTTCTCTTTTTTCCCTCCCTTTTCCCCTCCTCTAGAGTCTCAAGATTGGGGCCAGGCAGCAAGACAGTGAATATAAAGTGAAAAGTCACCTGGAGATTTCCAGGCCACCAGATGTGCAACGTATTCAGACAGAACAGCTGGATCATTTAACAGCTTCCTTGTTTTCCCCCAGAACATCCGCTGCGGGGGTGTCTCACACAGCATATCTACATGAAGACACGCAGGTGTGTGCCCCCGTGTGTTGCCTCATGAGACCCTGTGCAAAAGTCACCATTGTCTGAAAGCCCCACTTGTATCCTTTAATGTAATCTGATTCAAATTTCTTCCCCTGCAACTTCCCTCTTTTCCTCTTCTTACATAACATAGCTAAAAAACCTGGTGCTGTTTAATCATCTCAGATACCTTCCACTGGCTTCCTGTGATCTTCAAGTGATCTTGTGAGTGAGGTGTTTGGAAAGATGAGACAAAATGAGGAAGAAAGTCTAAAGAAAGCCCTGGAGAGAGCTGGAAAGAAAACCCTCAAATTCAGCGCCAATCATGGTGGCTCACACCTGTAATCCCAGCACTTTGGGAGGCCAAGGTGGGTGGATTGCTTGAGACCAGGAGTTCGAGACCAGCCTGACCAACATGATGAAATCCCTTCTCTACTAAAAATACAAAAATTATCCTGGCATGGTGGTGGGCACCTGTAATCCCAACTACTCAGGAGGCTGAGGTGGGAGAATTGCTTGAACCCAGGAGGTGGAGGTTACAGTAAGCCGAGATCACACCACTACACTCAAGCCTGGGCGATGCAGCAAGACCCTGTCTCAAAAAAACAAAAACAAAAGCAAATACAAAACTCAAATTCAGGGCACTGCATTGTTCTTGGCCCCATTATACAGATGAAAGAACTCTAGGGTCCAAAAGCTCAAAAGAACCTGTACTCCAACCCCAAACTCCTAGCTCTTATCATGCAACTCAACTGCCAGCATCACAGACAAAGCAAAGCTGGAAAAGACCTCACACATGGGGCTGCATGGTGCAGAGAGCATTGCCTCAGCCTCTCATGTCGGCTAGACAACACTGAGTTCAAATCCCTTTCCTGGGACTTAGAAGCTGCCGACTTGGGCAAGCCGTGTCAGCTCTCTGAGCCTCGGTTTCCTTATCTATAGAATGGTAATAATAACAGTATCTCGACCAGGCGTGGTGGCTCACACCTGTAATCCTAGCACTTTGGGAGGCTGAAGCAGGGGATCACCTGAGGTCAGGAGTTCGAGACCAGCATGACCAACATGGTGAAACCCCGTCTCTACTAAAAATACAAAAATTAGCTGGGTGTGGTGGCGGGCACCTGTAATCCCAGCTACTCGGCAGTCTGAGGCAGGAGAATCACTTGAAGCCGGGAGGCAGAGGTTGTAGTGAGCCGAGATCGTGCCATTGCACTCCAGCCTGGGCGACAGAACGAGACTCCGTCTCAAGATAGTAATAATAACAACAACAACAACAGTATCTCTCTCTCAGAGGGGTGTTGTGAAGATCTGATGAAACGAGACATGTAGAGTTCCGAAATGATAGTAAGGACTAGAAAATGTATGTTGTTGTTAGAATTAGTACAAAACTGAGGCCCAAGTTTACACAAATTAGGTAATGGCAGATCCAGGCTTAGCAGCTGGTCTTGCAGCTCTCACTCCAGCATATTATTTCCTTTTTTTTTCTTCTTGAGATGGAGTCTCGCTCTGTCGCCCAGGCTAGAATGCAGTGGCGTGATCTCAGCTCACTGCAACCTCCGCCTCCCAGGTTCAAGCGATTCTCCTGCCTCAGCCTCCTGAGTAGCTACGACTAGAGGGGTGCGCCACCGCGCCTGGCAAATTTTTTCTATATTTAGTAGAGATAGGGTTTCATCATGTTGGCCAGGCTGGTCTCAAACTCTTGACCTCAAGTGATCTGCCCGCCTCGACCTCCCAAAGTGCTGGGATTACAGACGTGAGCCACCGCAGCTCTTGTATTTTCACCAAGAGAGTTTCTTGCTACTTACTCTTCCACCAAAAACAGTGATAATACTAATTATTTTAGTTATTACAGCTGAGACTCTGTGTTCCAGATCCCATCTTAACACCTTACACCTGCTCATCAAATCATTGTGACAACCTTGTAACATAGGTCCCATCATTATCCTTAGTTTATAGATGAGGAAACTGAGGCCCAGAAAGCAAGAGAACCTTGCCCAAGGTCACACAGCTAGTAGACAGCAGGGCTAGGATGCAAAGGCAGGCAGCCGGCCCCAGAGTCCACCTTGTAATCTCTGCACTCACTGCTTTCCATTAAACTTCTTGGGGATTTACCGCAAATCATGGTTACTTTTCTTTACTATTATCTCTATATATATATCAATTGACTTTCACTTACACAAGTAATATGTGAATGAATACATTCTAAAAAACAAAAACAAAATTAGGGCATGACTGACAAAACTAAACTCTGCTTGGACATTACTCTTATTTTCCACTGTGAGTAGTTTGGTAAGAATCCTCTCAGCCTTTTGCCTACACGTTTACATATGTACTTTACTGCCACTTTGCATACTCTTCCCACTGGGCCTCTAGAAAACAGTAGCTGAGACGGCAAACTTGAGACTGAAGAAAGGTTGTGGGGGCTGGAGATGGTATCACTTTCTGTTTTCTGTAGATCAGTTACCTATAAATATTCTGAAAGCTTCCCGGCAGGTGACTCAGCCAATGGGCCAGAGAGTTGGATGCATAATTAGGTTTCCTTGGCTATCTGCAGAGACAAAACCAGAGAAGGTGGGCTGTCTCTATCCAATATGGCTGCCACTCACCAAATGGGGTTTTGGGCCCTTGAAATGTGGCTTGTCCGAACTGAGATGGGATATAAGTGCAAAATACCAGATTTTGTAGCCTTATACAAAAAAAAAAAAAGAGGATAACATAGCTCATGCTTTTTTAAAAAAAACCTTTCCTATGGTGCTAAATTAATTTCTTTTCTTTCTTTCTTTCTTTCATTCATTTTCTTTCCTTCCTTCTTTCTTTTTTTTCTTATTTCTATGAGTCAGGGTTTCACTCTGTCACCCAAGCTGTAATGGCCTCACAAGTAGCTGGGACTTGTGTATGTGTAATCACTTCTAGCTAATTTTCTTTACTTCCTTCCTTCCTTTCTTTCTTTCTTTCTTTCTTTTCTTTCTTTCGAAACAGGGTTTCACTATGTTGCCCAGACTGGTCTCAAATTCCTGGCTTCAAGCAATCCTCTCACTTTGGCCTCCCAAAGTGCTAGGATTACAGGCATGAGCCACTGCACCTAGCCTTGAAATACTTTCTTTTTTTTCTCTCTCTCTTTTTTTTTTTGAGATGGACTGTCTTGTCACCCAGGCTGGAGTACAATGGCATGATCTTGGCTCACTATAACCTCCACCTCCCAGATTCAAGCTATTCTACTGCCTCAGCCTCTCAAGTAGTTGGGATTACAGGTGCCTACCACCGTGCCCGGCTAATTTTTGTATTTTTAGTAGAGACGGGGTTTCACCATGTTGGCCAGGCTGGTCTTGAACTCCTGACCTCAGGTGATCCACCCGACTCGGCCTCCCAAAGTGCCAGGATTACAGGCATGAGCCACTGTGCCCGACCAGAATGCTTTCTTTATATTGATTACGTGTTAAAATGGTCATTTTTAAAATATATCAGGTTAAATTAAATATATCATTTAAATTAACTTCAGCTTTTTTAATGAGGCTACTGGAAAAATTAAAAGTCCATATGTGGTTTGAATTCTTTTTTTTTTTTTTTAAACACACTCTGTTGCCCAGGCTGGAGTGCAGTGGCGAGATCTTGGCTCCCTGCAACCTCTGCCTCCCAGATTCAAGCGATTCTCCCGCCTCAACCTCCCAAGTAGCTGGGACTACAGGCGCCCACCATCACACCTGGCTAATTTTTGTATTTTTAGTTGAGAGGGGGTTTCACCATGTTAGCCAGGCTGGTCTCGAACTCCCGGCCTCAAGGGATCCATCCGCCTTGGCCTCCCACAGTGCTGGGATTACAGGCGTGAGCCACCGTGCCCGGCCTTGAATTCTATTTCTAATGGATAGCGCTGTTCTAAACAGTTGCTTGAGGAGACACTATTTTAAAAAATTATCTGAGAATGGTAATGATAGTTCGATTGTATCAGGTGCTCTAAGATGAGGTTGCAGGCTAAACACTTCCCATTGCTTATCTCTTCCATTCCTTCACAACAGTTGCATGAGCTAAGCACTATTCTTACCTCCATTTTGCAGAGGAGGAAACTGAAGCTCAGAGAAGTGAAGTCATTTGCCCAAGGTCACACAGCCAGGAAGCAGCCAAGCAGCAATCTGAACACATCCCTCAAGGGATTAACCCTGTGGATGACAGGACAAGAAAACCATTCACAGGGACCCGCCTCAGAGATGAGTATAGTCAGAAGAAAGTCCTGGAAAAGCCAGGTTCCAATGGGATAATACAAGCCCATCTCATTCACAGCCCTTTTTTTTTTTTTTTTTTTCTTTTTGAGACGGAGTTTTGGGTCTTGGTCTGTCACCCAGGCTGGAGTGCAGTCGCATGATCTCGGCTCACCGCAACCTCCACCTCCCCGGTTCAAGTGATTCTCCTGCCTCAGCCTCCTGAGTAGCTGGGATTACAGGTGTGCACCACCACACCTGGCTTTTTTTTTTTTTTTTTTTTGAGACAGAGTCTCACTCTATCGCCCAGGCTAGAGTGCAGTGGCTCGATCTTGGCTCACTGCAACCTCTGCTGCCCAGGTTCAAGTGATTCTCCTGCCTCAGCCTCCTGAGTAGCTGGGATTACAGGTGCCTGCCATCACGCCTGGCTAATTTTGTATTTTTAGTACAGACGGGTTTTCACCATGTTGGCCAGGCTGGTCTTGAACTCCTGACCTCGTGATCCGCTCGTCTCGTCCTCCCAAAGTGCTGGGATTACAGGTGTGAGCCACCGTGCCCAGCTTAATTTTTGTATTTTTAGTAGAGATGGGGTTTCACCATGTTGGCCAGGCTGGTCTTGAACTCCTGACCTCATGTGATCTGCCCACCTCAGCTTCCCAAAGTGCTAGGATTACAGGCATGAGCCACTGTGCCCGTCCTCATCCACAGCCTTTTGGGGGTGGGGGTGTTGTTTTGTTAGTTTGGGGGCCAGAGGAGAAACCAATCAGACAATTCGATACCTGCTTCTCTGCCCTACCCATTGCAAGGCCCAGCCCCTGCTCTGAATTAATATGGAGTTTACATTTGAAGAGTAAGTGTTAGTTTCTTTTTTTTTTTTTTTTTTTTTTTGAGACAGAGTCTTGCTCTGTCGCCCAGGCTGGAGTGCAGTGGGGCATTCTCGGCTCACTACAAGCTCTTCCTCCTGGGTTCACGCCATTCTCCTGCCTCAGCCTCCCGAGTAGCTGGGACTACAGGCACCCACCACCACACCCAGCTAATTTTTTGTATTTTTTAGTAGAGATGGGGTTTCACCATGTTGGCCAGGCTGGTCTTGAACTCCTGACCTCAGGTGATCTGCCTGCCTTGGCCTCCCAAAGTGCTGCGATTACAGGCATGAGCCACTGTGCCTGGCCAAGCTAATGCATTATAATTAGTGTATAAGGAGCAGTCAGTATGACCAGAAGTCACTTTGATTGTCATCTTAGTTTTGGCAGGTTTTGGCTGGCTTCTTTACTGCATCCTGTTTTATCAGTGGGGTTTTTATGACCTGTAAAAATACAAAAATTAGCCAGGTATGGTGGCACACACCTGTAATCCCAGCTACTTGGGAGGCTGAGGCAGAAGAATCACTTGAACCTGGGAGGTGGAGGTTGCAGCGAGCTGAGATTGTGCTGCTGCACTCCAGCCTGGATGACAGAGTGAGACTTTGTCTCAAAACAAACAAACCAAAAACTATATATCTATCTATCTATATCTGTCTAGATAGATAGATAGATATAGCAGCAATGGCTGCTTCCTGGCCATGTGACCTTGAGCAAATGACTTCACCCCTCTGTGTGTGTGTGTGTGTGTGTGTGTGTGTGTGTGTGTGTGTGTGTGTGTGTGTTTTAATATAATGCATTAGCTGCTAAAAGACACTCCCACCAGCACCACAACAGTTTACAAATGCCACGGCAACGTCTGGAAGCTACTGACAGAGCAGGAGCACTGTAATCTCTGACAAACAGAGATTTGTTAAAGCAGCTTAAAGCTGCTTTAAGTTCCAGCTCCCTTTCCAGCTTCATTCATTTCAAGGAGATCACTTCTCTTCTAACTACAAGCAGCCAGAAAGAGCAGAGAGTAAAACACAGATAAGATAGCTCGGGCACAGAGGGATGTGGGGGGAATGTCTCTTAGGTAACTGCCGAACTTCACCCTCATACAATGGGCCCCAGTAAAACAGTGGGCCTTAAATAAGCATATTCCTTTCCCTTCAGGTGCACTAAGATAGGGAAGCTAAAAGTAGACTCAGAGGATATGCCTGCAGCTGCAGGAAGATGTTTGGCAACAAACACACAACTCTCCCTCCCAGATAAGCACAACAAAGAGACACAGAAGCAGCCCAAGCCTCTGATAAACTCTCCCACCCTGAATCCTTAAAAACTCTTAGTCTGTAAGAGAGTGTGCCTTTGACAACTCGCCAGAAGCTCCTCTCAGGTTTGTTTTCTCTAAAATAAACCTGTCTTGACTGGTGAGCCACCTTTCATGTTTCTTTCCTCTTTCTTTAATTTGTGTTGGTCTAAAAGGAAGAAGAACTCTCAGTTCCAGGAAATCCCTCCCCCTTTCCCAAAACACCTATGAATAATCCATCCCTTTAGCATATGATCAAGAAATAATTATAAAAATAGCCAACCAGCAGCTCTCACAGCTTCTCTGTTCGTGGAGAAGCTATTATTTTAATTTTAATTTTTTTTTTGACACAGAGTCTCACTCTGTCACCCAGGCTGGAGTGCAGTGGCATGATCTCGGCTCACTGCAACCTCCGCCTCCTGGGTTAAAGCGATTCTCTTGCCTCAGCCTCCTGAGTACCTGGGACTATAGGCAGGTGCCACCACGCCCAGCTAATTTTTTGTATTTTTAGTAGAGACAGGGTTTCATTGTGTTAGCCAGGATGGTCTCGATCTCCTGACCTCGTGATCCACCCACCTTGGCTTCCCACAGTGCTGGGATTACAGGCGTGAGCCACTGTGCCCAGCCTTTAATTTGTTTTAATTTTTTTGAGACAGGGTCTCACTCTGTCACCCAGACTGGAGTGCCATGGCACAATCTCAGCTCACTGCAACCTCTGCCTTCTGGGCTCAAGTGATCCTCCCACCTCAGCCTTCTGAGTAGCTGAGACTACAGGCACATGCCACCATGCCCGGCTAATTTTTTTGTGTGTGTGGAGATGGGGTTTTGCCATATTGCCCAGGGTGGTCTTGAACTCCTGGACTCAAATGATCTGCCTGCCTCAGCCTCCCAAAGTGCTGGGATTACAGGCATGAGCCACTGCACCTGGCTCATTCTTTTTTTCTTTTCTTTACTTCTCTAATAAATTTGCTTTCACTTTACGGACTTGCCCTGAATTCTTCCTTGTGCGAGATCCAAGAACCCTCTCTTGGGGTCTGGATCAGGACTCCTTTCCGGTAACAATTGCAGCTCTGTGGTAGTGATATGATCTTATGATTACCTTCCAGCCAATGGGATGTACACAGAAATGGTATGTACAAGTTCTAGGAAGTGTCCTTAAAACTAAGGGGCATGCTCTTTGCTTCCCCTTTGCAAGCTTCTCTCTGGCTGGAATACACACATGACGGCAGGTGCTACAGCAGCTGTCTTGTGTCTCAAGAGGGCTGACAACTGTTGAGGATAGCATAAAAATAAGATGGAAGGAGCCCAGGTATCTGATAATTATGGAAGTGCCATTGAGCCCAAGTCTGCCCATATGTACTGTGAACCCCGAAAATTTGAGACAGGTCTCAGTTAATTTAGAAAGTTTATTTTGCCAAGGTTGAGGATGTGTGCCCATGACACAGCCTCAGGAGGCCCTGATGACATGTGCCCAAGGCGATCAGAGCACAGCTTGGTTTTATACATTTTAGGGAGACATGAGGCATCAATCAACATATGTACGATGAACATTGTTTAGGTCCAGAAAGGCGGGACAACTGGAAGTGGGGGAAAGAAAGGGGCTTCCAGGTCACAGGTAGGTGAGAGACAAATAGGGGGCATTCTTTTGAGTTTCTGATTAGCCTTTCCAAAGGAGGCAATCAGATATGCGTTTATCTCAGTGAGCAGAGGGGTGACTTTGAACAGAATGGGAGGCAGGTTTTCCACAAGCAGTTCCCAGCTTGATTTTTCCCCTACTTAGTAATTTTGGGGGCCCAAGATATTTTCCTTTCACAGTACCTTTCTATGAAAGAGAAATAAGCTTCTATCTTATTTCGGTCACTGCTAGTTGGTGTCTATTTGTTAAAGTAACTAAAGTGTTTTTTTGTTGTTGTTGTGTTTTTGAGTCTCACTCTGTTGCCCAGGCTGGAGTGCAGTGGTGCCATCTCAGCTTACAGCAACCTCCGCCTCCCAGGTTCAAGTGATTCTCCTGCCTCAGTCTCCCAAGTAGCTGGGATTACAGGCACCTGCCACCACCTAATTTTTGTATTTTTTGTAGAGATGGGGTTTTGCCATGTTGGCCAGGCTGGTCTTGAACTCCTGACCTCTGGGGATCCACCCACCTTGGCCTCCCAAAGTGCTGGGATTACAGGTGTGAGCCACCGCTCTCAGCCTGGTTGTTTTAAAACTAACACAGGCCAAGTTTATAGAAATTTCAGACAATGAAAAAAAAAAAATACAAGCCAGGTGCAGTGGCTCACACCTGTAATCCCAGCACTTTGGGAGGCTAAGGCAGGAGGATTGCTTGAGCCCAGGAGTTCAAGACCAGCCTGGGCAACATAGTGAGGCACCATCTCCACAAAAAATAAAAAAATTAGCCAGGCAGGGTGGTGCATACCTGTGGTCCCATCTACTCCAGAGGCTGAGGTGAGAGGATCATTTGGGCCTAGGAGGTCGAGGCTGCAGTGAGCCATGATTGCACCACTGCAATCCAGCCTGGGCAACAGAGTAAGACCCTGCCTGAAAAAAAAAAACAAATACAGACCATTGCTCAGAGCGACAAGTTGTAGATTGAGGGGAGTGGGGAAAGAAAGATCAGTGAGACTTTTGGGAGAGCATGGTGGGGCATTAGACTGCTTCAGATAGTGTGGAAGGCATTAGAAGTGGGACAGCAGTGGTAGAGATTAAAGGGTTAATAGCCCAGGACCGTCAGCCATCAGAGGTAAGCAGTGAGGAGACATTTCAGGAATTAAGTGAGTGATTCTGTGAACTGGGGTCAGGGACAAGCATCCGCCTCCGTTTCTATAAAATGGGTTGATAATGCTAACAAATGGAATAAAATAATAAAATGGTGTTGTGATGATGAAAAGAGATACAGTTCTTAACATGCTGCCTGACCCACAGGATGCACACAATATATGTTAGTAATTATTATTATTACTATTACTATTATCTCCTGCTGTGACTGGCCTAGCTAGTCTTCCAGCTCTCCTGCTACTGAAATGCCTTCCCCCAAGTTGTCCCGTGGGAATCTGAAACAGTGACAGTCTATTCTATTCGTTTCAGACAGTACAAGGGCCTGCAGAAAAGGCTCTTGGAGGCAATGATCTCTCTGCAAATGAATTGGAGACCAGCACAAGATCCTAGACTCAAAGCCTTCTGTCATGACTGGATGTGACTTTTTGAGGTGTCTTCCTTGGGTGATGGGGAGGTGTATTTTGAGAGCAGATGGGACAGAAATAAATCTTTGTAACCAAGCGGGCAAACATGGTGGAATATATTATTGTTTTTAATTTTTCACTCCTTTCTCTGTTTTCCGCCAACTGACTTGGCCATATGGCATGCTTTGGCCAACAGAATATGTAATGCCCGTCACATCCACCTAAGAGCTGTAAGAGGCATAGCTAGGGTTTTCTCCTGCTTTCTTACAAGTTTCCCTTCTGCAACAAGAATGGGCATGTCCCATAAGACCCCAGAATGAAAAGACACACAGAGCAGAGCCCAGCGTAGCCACAGCTGCAGCCACTGACATTAACAAGAGCAAGAAATCCACGTGTATTGTTGTAAACCATTGAGATGTGAGGATTGTTTGTTATGCAGCAAAGCTGACTTACACATCTGCCCCAGGGTTCTGGGAAGGACCAAAGGATGTGGAAGAAGATGGACCTCAGTTTGAATCCCAGCTCTTCCCAACATCGAATCCTAGGTGACTTTGAACAAGTCGCTTAACCTCCTGGGACTCCATTTTCCTCATCCGTGAAATAAGGATAATGATACTGCTTATACGTCATAGGGTTATGGTAAGGATTAGATGAGATCTTGTCCATAAAGGGCTTGGAGTTGAGAAAGGGCTCTGTTAATAGGTGGTACAAGGACAAGTTCAGCTGATATTCAGATCCCAGGCCTGACGAAGGCCTGACCTTGATCTCAAAGTGGAATTATAACTTTGCTGAGCTATATATATCTATATATATATAGCTATATATCTATACATAATAATCTATATATATATAGCTATATATATATATATATAGATTATTTAGCCTGTGTGTGTGTGTGTGTATATATACATATATATACATAATTTGGGTTGACAAGAACCCCACAACTGCCTCCAGTTTAAGCTGCACCGGCCATGCATGATGGCTCACACCTAGAATCCCAGTACTTTGGGAGGCCACAGCGGATGGTTCACTTGAGGTCAGGAGTTCGAGACCAGCCTGACCAACAAGGCAAAACCCCATCTCTACTAAAAATACAAAAATTAGCCAGGCATTGTGGCACACAACTGTAATCCCAACTCCTTAGGAGGCCAAGGCAGAAGAATCATTTTAACCTGGGAGGTGGAGGTTGTAGTGAGCTGAGATGGTACCACTGCATTCCAGCCTGGGTGACAGAGCGAGACTCCATCTAAAAAATTTTTAAAAAATTAAAAAAAAAAGCTACACCAACTCACCAACTTCTTTCCTCCACATTCCTCTTCCCAACCTCAGGCCTCTCCCACCAAAAAATAAAATAACAACACAAGAACAGAAAACCCACAGCTTGAGGTGCTGCTTAAGGCTGGCTTGAACCATGATCATTCACAACAAATGGCAAATTTGTTCATGTTTATCTTATCAATAGGTGTCCTTCCTCTTGGGCTGTTTGGGAAGCAAAGTTGGTCCACTCTTCAAAGTTTGCCTGCTCTTGGCTTGACTGGATGACCTTGAACTTTGAAGCAAGTTTTTATGTTGTGGAAGTGGCCCATTGAGCAAGTTTTATGGTGTGGAAGAGGTCTGTGAACACGCAATTTCACACCAATGCACGCAAACCTGCATGCATATACAACCATTTATATACATGCGTATACAACCACTTATATATACATGCACACAAAGATTTTCTTTTTTTTCTTTTTTCTTTTTTGAGACAGAGTCTTGCTTTATCACCCAGGCTGGAGTGCAGTGGCGTGATTTCAGCTCACTGCAACCTTTACCTCCTGGGTTCAAGCAATTCTCCTGCCTCAGCCTCCCGAGTAGCTGGGATTACAGGCGTATACCACCACGCCCGGCTTTTTTTTTTTTTTAAGTACAGATGGGGTTTATACCATGTTGGTCAGGCTGGTCTCGAACTCCTGACCTTGTGATCTGCGCACCTCAGCCTCCCAAAGTGCTGGGATTACAGGCATGAGCCACCACACCCGGCAAAGATTTTCTTAGCCAGTTTCCTACTTAGGTGACTTCCAGGGTTTTTCTAAGCTGCTTGTTCTGTTTGCAGTTACAAAAGACATTGACATGTATAGGCAGTATGTGTAGAGAGTGTAACTTTAGGCTCTGACTGAACTCAGAACAGAATCAGAGACAAGGATTCTACTGCAAGTTGTTTATTTGGAGGGTAATTCCAGGAAACATCAGGAAGAGGGTAAGAGAAGGAAGTTAATATAAGGGTATTTTCTCAAGCAAATTACCACTGTGGCAACTGGGGCATTCTGTTTGGGAATGCCAGGAGCTGGGTAGAACACACTTCAGAGTTATCCCATCTGCGGATCACTTGAGGTCATGAGTTCGAGAACAACATGGTAAAACCCCATCTCTCCTAAAACTACAAAAATTAGCTGGGTGTGGTGGCAGGTGTCTATAATCCCAGTTACTTAGGAGGCTGAGGCAGGAGAATCACTTGAACCCAGGAGGCAGAGGTTGCAGTGAGCCGAGATCACGCCACTGCACTCCACCCTGGGCAGCAGAGTGAGACTCTGTCTCTAAATAAATAAATACATACATACATACATACATACAGTTATCCCATCTGAGGGGTGAGGGAGCTGGGGTATTTATCCGCCAACCCCTGTCAGTCACTGGTTGAAGGATGTTCCCAGGGCAAACTAACTTCTTGGCACTACTGATTTGCCCCCAGACTTGTTGAGCAAGCCCTGGTAGACAGAGCCAAGTACAGGTGCTGGCAGCAGGTCCACGACTAGAGGGAGGCAAGTGAGGTGACTAGGGTGCAAAATTTAAGGAGGCACTTACTCTTGGGGTTGTGCAATTGCAGAGTGGACAGTTTGAACCTTTCTGGCACAGAAAGGCGATTACTGAAAGGCTATGGGGGAGGCACTGACAGTGTCTGCTACAGGTTTTGCAGGCAGGCAGGCTGCCTGGGTTTGATTCTTAATTCAGCCACTCAAGGGACACTCACTTAAGTTCCTTATAACTCTGCTTCCACATCTGTAAACTGAGATAATTATAGTGCTTACTTCATAGGACTGTTAGAGAGGATTACACGGATGATTCATATCAAATGCTGAGAACACAGCTGGGCACAAAATAAGCCTCCCATAAGCATTAGCTTTGATGACATTGCAATGAACGTTATAGTGCATTTATCTTGGTAGGCTTTTTTGGGGGTTTTTTTGTTTGTTTTGAGAGGGAGTCTCACTCTGTTCCCCAGGCTGGAGTGCAGTGGTGCCATCTTGGCTCACTGCATCCTCCGCCTCCCAGGTTCAAGTGATTCTCCTGCCTCAGCCTCCCTCGTAGCTAAGACTACAGGCACGTGCCACCATGCTAGGCTACTTTTTGTATTTTTAGTAGAGATGGGGTTTCGCCATGTTGGCCAGGCTGGTCTCGAACTCCTGACCTCAGGTGATCCACCCGCCTTGCCTCCCAGAGTGCTGGGATTACAGGCATGAGCCACCTCGCTCAGCCCTGGTGGTTTTTTGAGGATCAAGGAAGCAAGATCACCTAATAGTTAAGAAAAGAGCCTTTTGGCTCAGGCAGATGTGGGTTCAAGTCCCCAGTCCACAATTTGTTATGTGACCTTAGGCAAATCACTTAACTTCTCTGGACCTCAAGTCTCTAATAAAAATGATTATTAATCTGGGCATGGTAGCATGTGCCTGTAATCCCAGCCACTCAGGAGACTGAGACAGGAGGATCACTTGAACCCAGGAGTTTGAGACCAGCCTGGGCAACATAGCAAGACCCCATCTCTTACTTTTTGGCGGGGGGGTGGGGGATACAGTCTCACTCTGTTGCCCAGGCTGGAGTGCAGTGGTGTGATCACAGCTTGCTGCAGCCTCGATCTGCTAGGCTTAAGCAATCCTTCCACCTCAGACTCCTAAGTAGCTGGGACTACAGGCACGTGCCACCATGCCCAGCTAATTTTTTTTTTAAGAGATAGGGTCTTGCTATGTTGCCCAGGCTGGGAGATCCCATCTCATAAAAATAAAAATTATTATTTAATAATAAGATACTTAGCCACAATTTTTAAAGCTTTAAATAAAATTAAAAGATGTATGCAAGGTGTTTCTCTAAGCGCTGTGCCAGGCTTGAAGTCAAGTGTGCAATAAATCTTAGGTGTGATTGTTGGGTGTTCAATTTCGCATGCAAGCAGGAAGCTCCTGCCATGTTGGAGTGGCCAGGAAGCTATAATTCAGGCAGCAATATTTATTGCACACCTGCAAGATGCAAAGCACTAAGATGGGAAGTGAGGGCCATTAAAAAGAAACATTAACACTCTGTCTTGGTCCTGGTGGTAGACTGGAATTCTTCCATTTCTCCTTTAATAGAATCACACGTCCACACCCTCTGCTTTGTGACTTTGTGGTTCCTCTCTAGAATGGGCTATGAAAACTCTCCAGCAACCTTGAGAACGCACAAAAGGAGACAGAGTCTGGGCGCAGTGGCTCACGCCTGTAATCCCAGCACTGTGGAAGGCAAAGAGGGAGGATTGCTTGTGGCCAGGAGTTCAAAACCAGCCTGGGCAACACAGTGAGACCCCATCTCTACAAAAGTAAAAATAAAAATTAGCCAAACATGGTGATGCATGCCTGTAGTCCCAGCTGCTTAGGAGGCTGAGACAGGAGGATTGCTTGAGCCCAGGAGGTCAAGGCTGCAGTAAGCTGTAATCACACCACTGCACTCCAGCCTGGGTGACAGAGCAAGACCCTGTCTTTAAAAAACAAAAAAACAAAAAAGGCCAGGCATGGTGACCCATGCCTGTAATCCTTGCACTTTGGGAGGCTGAGGCAGGTGGATCATTTGAAGCCAGGAGTTCAAGACCAGCCTGGCCAACATGGTGAAAACCCATCTCTACTAAAAATACAAAACTTAGCTAGGCATGGTGGTACATGCCTATAGTCCCAGCTACTAGGGAGGCTGAGGTGGGAGGATCACTTGACCCTGGGAGGTGGAGGTTGCAGTGAGCCAAAATCATGCTACTGCACTTCAGCCTGGGCAACAGAGACAGACCCTGTTACAAAAAAAAAAAAAAAAAGCAAAAGGAGGCCAAGGGAAAAGTTAGAAAAACTTGGTCCCTGATGACTCTATGGATTTCCTACAGAAGACCTGAGTTGTCCCCCACCCCTCCATGAACTTATTTTAATATGAGAGAAAAACAAATCAGTAAGTGCTTGAGTTTCTGTTATACACAGCAAAAATGAAATCTATGGTACACGCCCTTCCTATTTTATTTATTTATTTATTCATTTTGAGACAGAGTCTCACTCTGTCGCCCAGGCTGGAGTGCAGTGGCATGATCTTGGCTCCTGCAACCTCTGCCTCCTGGGTTCAAGTGATTCTCCCGCCTCAGCCTCCCGAGTAGCTGGGACTACAGGCATGCACCACCAAGCCTGGCTAATTTTTGTATTTTTAGTGGAGACAGGGTCTCATCATGTTGGCCAGGCTGGTCTCGAACTCTTGACCTCAGGTGATCCACCTGTTCGGCCTCCCAAAGTGCTGGGATTACAGGCATGAGCCACCACGCCTGGCCTTATTTTATTATTTTTTATGCTCTGGGCACGGCACTGTGGAAGATCGTGTTTTCTGGGGATCGCAGAGGAACATTCTCAAGTCTTGCAAAGAGGAGACAGTTTCCAGGCTGCCTCCTGCAGGGTGTGGCTCCTCTGCCCATGCCCCTGGGATCTGGCTGTCCCTCACCTTATCTCCATCTCCTGTCAAAGGCCTCAACCCCTGCTCTGTGCCAGCCCGGTGACTTCTGCTTTCTGCAAAGAGACAAATCAGAAACACCCATCCATGTCAGATCAGCCCTGAGGTTGGTCCAGACACGAGGGTATGAGCTGCCCCAACACCAAGTCCCACTTTCCCTTGAGCTCAGTGGGCACCCATTCCACTCACGGTAGACCTGCCCATCTCTCCACTAGGTTCATTCATTACGCAGCTGGACCTTTTCATCCTGATGAATGCATCTCTTGGCAAGGGACACCAGGCCACAACTGCCAAAAATTTTTTAGTAATAATTTTTTTCTAGTCTTTTTTTTTTTCTTTTGAGACAGAATCTTGCTCTGTCGTCTAGGCTGGAGTGCAGTGGCACCATCATAGTTCACTGCAGCCTGGAACTCCTGGCCACAGCGATCCTCCCACCTTGGCCTCCCAAAGTGCTCAGATTACAGGCATGAGCCACTGTGCCTGGTCCAGAAATAATGTTCTGATGCAACCAAGGATAGCCAAGTTAGAACTCAGAGAAATGAGATCCACCACCCCCCTTAAATTCAGCTGCCAAATTCCAACCACTTACATTGTTTCTTTACCCACGCACCCCCACCTATTCACACTTCTTCAAGTAACAATACCTCAGTTTTCCTCTGAACAGCTTCTTACCCACGCTACTGGTTCATTTGGTCTGAGTGATGGAAATTCTACTTTCTGCACCCAGTGTAGTCATGTGATTTGCACATGGCCAATCAGAGCCTCGCAGGCCTCTGGCCTTAGTGATTAGTGTCTCCATTTGGACCACTGAGAGTCAGGCCCAGGATTTTGTTTCATCTCCTGCAAAGATAAAGGTAACTCCCTTCTCTGCTGGTCTTGGGCCTGTGAGGGTGGGATGGTGGGGGCTGCTGGCAACCACCTTTCCACCCAGAGGGTAACAGCTGATTGAGAGAGTGGCATTAGCACAAAAGGAAGCTAAACTAAGTGACGGAAAGAAAGAGACACACAGAGACCAGCCCGGATAGCATCATTTGAGCTCCTGGATCAAGCCACACTTGAATGTCTTTTTTTTTTTTTTTTTTAAAGACGGAATCTCACTCTGTTGCCCAGGCTGGAGTGCAGTGGTGCAACCTCGGCTTACTGTAACCGCCACCTCCCTAGTTCAAGTGATTCTCTTGCCTCAGCTTCCCAAGTAGCTGGGATTACAGGTGCCCGCCACCACACCCAGCTAATTTTTCTATTTTTAGTATTTTTAATAGAGATGGGGGTTTCATCATGTTGGCCAGGCTGGTCTAACTCCTGACCTCAGGTGATATCCCCACCTCAGCCTCCCAAAGTGTGAGCCACCGCACCCAGCCGATTTTTTTTTATTTTTAATTGTTGCTTACCACCTAGAATAGGGCTTGGCAGGTAGCAGGTGCTCAATAAATTTTTTTTAATAGAAAAATAAAGAGTACTGGCTGAGCACAGTGGTTCACGCCTGTAATCCCAGCACTTTGGGAGGCTGAGGCAGCCAGATCACCTGAGATCAGGAGTTCGAGACTAGCCTGGCCAACATGGTGAAACGCTTTCTCTACTAAAAATACAAAAATTAGCTGGGCGTGGTAGCGGGCACCTGTAATCCCAGCTACTGGGGAGGCTGAGGTGGAAGGATTGCTTGAGACCCAAAGGTCAAGGCTGCAGTGAGCCAAGATTGTGACACTGCACTGCAGCCTGGGCAACAGAGTGAGATTCTGTCTCAAAAAAAAAAAAAAAGAAAAAAAAAATCATAAATGTAAAATCAGTGTCACGTGCCATAAATAGAAGATAATTGTAAATATATACACTTTGAAGGCCAGTTTTCTTACATTCAGACTGGGTATTTTCACACCTTCTAACGACTGGACTTGAGGTCTACTTTCTCTTTGTTAAAAAGAGATTACCGGCCAGGCGCGGTGGCTCACACCTGTAATCCCAGCACTTTAGGAGTTCGAGGCAGGCAGATCACTTGAGGTCAGGAGTTGAAGACCAGCCTGGCCAACATGGTGAAACCCCGTCTCTACTAAAATACAAAAAAAGCCAGGCATGGTGGTGGGCACCTGTAATCCCAGCTACTGAGGTGGCTGGGGCAGGAGAATCACTTGAACCTGGGAGGCAGATGTTGCAGTGAGCTGAGATCATGCCACTTCACTCCAACATGGGCAACAGAGTAAGACTCCGTCTCAAAACAAAAACAAAAACAAAAACAAAAACTTATTAGCATCAGGCTGGGTGCAGTGGCTCACGCCTGTAATCCCAGCACTTCAGGAGACCGAGGTGAGCAGATCACTTGAGGTCAGGAGTTTGAGACAAGCCTGGCCAAAATGGTGAAACTCTGTTGCTATTAAAAACACAAAAATCAGCCAGTGGTAGTGGTGGGTGCCTGTAGTCCCAGCTACTCAGGAGGCTGAGGCAGGAGAATCGCTTAAACCCAGGAGGCCAAGGTTGCAGTGAGCTGAGATCACACCACTACACTCCAGCCTGGGCGACAGAGGGAGACTCTGTCTCAGAAACAAAACAAAACAAAACAAAAAAACTTTATTTGTCTCAGAAACAAAACAAAACAAAACAAAAAAAAAGAAAGCAATGATACTTTCTCCTTAAAGTAATCATTGCTTCTAATTAAAATATTAAATTAAATTTAAAAATATATCACTGCTCTAAAGCAAGCACCGTCTGATGAGGGTCATGGGCCCACCACATTTTTGTAAATAAAGTTTTATTAGGAAACAACCACACTCATTCATTCTTTGATGTATTGTCAAAGACTGCTTTCATGCTACATTGGCAGATGAGTATTCATGACAAAGACCACTGGGCCTGCAAAAGTCAAAAATATTTTCTATCTGGAGCTTTACAGAAAAAGTTACCATCTCCTGCTCTAAATCATGTCACACTCAAATTCTCTGGTGTATGGAATTTTATGACCTTATAGAAGGAAGCATCACCTTTTCATAGAAAGTCCATAGCAAGCTGAAAGGGCCAAACTGCCCTGCCATCCCATTTGTGTGGAGGCAGGCTCTTCAGATGCTAAATCTACCCCCAGCTTTCCGAAGGCAAGTGGTGAGGTGAGGAGCATGGACACCAAGCCCCCGGCAACTTCACTCTGAGCCAGAAGCAGCATCTTGCTGTGGGTCTTGCTGGATGGTAGAATTATGTGTGATTTCATCCTTTCCACGTTTCCATGTTTTCTAAATATTTAACACATTATATTTGTCTGCTAGAGCTTTCACAACAAAATACCACAAGCCAGGTGGCTTAAGCAACAGAAATTTATTTCCTCGCAGTTCTGGAAGCTGGAAGTCCAAGACGAAGGTGTCAGCAGGGCAGTTTCATTCTGAGGCTCTCTCCCTGGCTTTAGATGACCGTCTTCCACCTGTCTTCACAGGGTCTTCTTCTGTGTGTGTTTGCTGTGTTCTAATCGCTCTTTTTTTTTCTGCTCTGTCACCCAGGCTGGAGTGCAGTGGTGCAATCATGACTCACTGCAGCCTTGATCTCCCAGACTCAAGTGACACTCTCAAGTGAGCCACCATGCCTGGCCCCTAATCTCTCTTCTTTCTTCTTTCTTTAGTCACCTGAGTAGCTAGGGCCATAAGCCATAGGCACACATCACCACACCAGGCTAATTTTTTTTTTTTTTTTTTTTTTAGAGATGGGGTCTCACCATGTTGCCCAGGCTGGTCTCAAACTCCTGGGCTGAGGCAATCCTCCTGCTTCAGCCTCCCAAAGTGCTGGGATTAGGATTACAGGCATGCACCACCATGCCTGGCCTAATGTGTCTTCGCTCTGTCACCCAGGCTGGAGTGCAGTGGCGCGATCTCAGCTCACAGCAAGGTCCACCTCCCCAGTTCACACCATTCTCCTGCCTCAGCCTCCCAAGTAGCTGGGACTACAGGTACCCGCCACCATGCCCCGCTAATTTTTTTTTTTTAAATAGAGATGGGGTTTCACTGTGTTAGCCAAGATGGTCTCGCTCTCCTGACCTCATGATCTGCCCACCTCGGCCTCCCAAAGTGCTGGGATTACAGGCATGAGCCACCACACCCGGACCCTAATCTCTCTTCTTATAAGAACGTCATTCATATTGGATTAGGGCCTACCCTAATGACCCCAATCTAACTCAGTCACCTCTTCCAAGGCCTTATCTCCAAATACAATCACATCCTGAGGTTCTAGGGGTTAAGACTTCAACCTTGGAATTTTGGGAGGATGCAGTTCAGCCCATAGCACATATTGTATTTGCATTATTCAAACATGGACAGTAAACTGCTAAAAATTTTTAAAAGGTAGACCAAAAATCATGACCAACATTTTAATCTGAAATTTTTATTATGTAAGTAATATCTGTCTGATACTTTTAAAACAATTCAAAGAGTATAGAAGATAACAAGGGGAACACCAGCACCTATTCCCAGCCAGCCACACTCCCCACTGTTGACATTTTGTGTATATCCTGCCAGAAATTTTCTTTTTGTTAAATTTATTTTTATTGTTGAGATTTTTATTTTATTGTTGAGGTCTCGCTATGTTGAGATTACAGGCGTGAGCCACTGCACAGGGTCTTGCTATGTTGCCCAGGCTGGTCTTGAAAACCTGGGCTCAAGCGATCAACCTGCCTCAGCCTCCCAAAGCGCTGGGATTGCAGGTGTGAGCCACTCTGCCCAGCCCCCTACCGGAAATTTTCTCTGCCTAGACAAGGATATATAACCACCTCATACTTTTTTATTTTACACAAACAGGTTTATGACTTATATACTGCTCTGCAACGTGACTTTTTACACTGAACAATAAATAAATCATTGTATATTTTCAAAGCCTGTCATACATCTCAGTGCCTGCTTCTGGAAAACCCAACTTGCAACAGGTTATTTTGTTTTTATCTTTAAACATAAGCACAAAACAAAGAAATAAACAGCAACAAATACATAGAATGAGTATGAAAGGAGAGGGATGATTATTCTTTTAATTTTTATTTACCTTGGTGATGTTGCCATGCTGATTTTGGACTTTGGAAAATTAAATCAATAATGAGCCATTTGTTTCCCTCTCCCACTCCCACTGTCAAAATAATTAAGATTTTTTTTTCCAGCCTTAACTCCCTCGGGTGGTTTCTCTTCCTTAATCTATAAAGCAGCAAAGTCAAAAAGAGACTGTCCCTTGCCCCGGCGGCTGCAGTGATGGGCACTCTTGGGCCAGAGAGAGGCCTGTTCTGCCCCGTGAGATGGCCCACAAATGGCCTTTCTTCCTCCTAGAAACAGCCATCAGCTCCCAGGCCCTGCCAGGCCTGTGATGTGAGGTGAATAGCAAGGTTCCCACGCATACCCACTGGGAGCCCAGTGCTGTGTTAAGCTCTTACCTGCATTACTTCATTCAATTCTTCCCCAACTATTATCCCAATTTTACAACTATAATGTTGTGTTTTTGTTGTTTTTTGTTTGTTTGTTTTTGAGATGGAGTCTCGCTCTGTTGCCCAGACTGGAGTGTAGTGGCGTGATCTCGGCTCACTGCAACCTCCACCTCTCGAGTTCAAGTGATTCTCCTGTCTCAGCCTCCCGAGTAGCTGGGATTACAGGCACGTGCCACCACACCTGGCTAATTTTTGTATTTTTAGTAGAGACGGGGTTTCACCATGTTGGTCAGGCTGGTCTCGAACTCCTGACCTCATGATCCGTCAACCTAGGCCTCCGAAAGTGCTGGGATTACAGGCGTGAGCCTGCACCTGGCCCATTTGTTTATGTTTATTCAACTTTTTTTGTTGTTATTTTAGAAACAGAGTTTCACTCTATCACACAAATTGGAGAGCAGCGGCATGATCACTGTTCACCGCATCCTTGACTTCTGGGCTCAAGCGATCCTCCTGCTTCGGCTTCGTAAGTAGCTGGTACTACAGTGCACCCACCCCACCTGGCTAATTTTAAATTTTTTTGTAGAGACAGGGTCTCACTATGTTGCTAGGCTGGTCTTGAGCTCCTAGCCTGAAGCCATTCTTCCACCTTGGCCTCCCTAAGTACTGGGATTTACAGGCATGAGCCACCATGCCTGGCCTATTCAAGAATTTTTTACTGAATACCTTGTATGTGCCAGGCACGGGCCCAGGCACAAAAGCAAGAATAGCAAGCAGACAAAAATCCCCACCCACGTGGAAACAGAAAACAGGCAATCAAAGACATAACACAATGTCAGGCAGTGAAGAATCACATGGAGAAAAACAGAAAAATGGGAAGGGGGCTGGGTGCAGTGGTTCATGCCCATAATCCCAGCACTTTGGGAGACAAAGACAGGAGGATTGCTTGAGCCCAGCAGTTCGAGACCGGCCTGAACAATATAGTGAGACTCTGTCTTTACAAAAAAAAAAAATTTTTTTTTTTGAGACAGTTTTTCACTCTTGTTGCCCAGGCTGGAGTGCAATGGAGCAATCTCGGCTCACTGCAACCTCTGCCTCCCGGGTTTAAGGGGTTCTCTTGCCTCAGCCTCCCGAGTAGCTGGGATTACAGGCATGCACCACCACACCCAGCTAATTTTTTTAAGTAGACACGGGGTTTCACCACATTGGCCAGGTTGGTCTTGAACTCCTGACCTAAAGTGTTCCATCCGCCTCGGCCTCCCAAAGTGCTGGGTTTACAGGCATGAGCCACCGCGCCAGGCCCAAAAATTTTAAAATTAGCCGAGTGCAGTGCTCTGTGCTTGTGGTTCCAGCTACTCAGGAGGCCGAGGCTGCAGAATCACTTGAGCCTGGGTGGATGAGGTTACCGTGAGCCCTGATCGTGCCACTGCACTCCAGTCTGGGTGACTGTACCAAACCCTGTTTCAAAAAGAAAAAGTGTGATGGAAGGATTGAGGGCTAGGGAGCATTTTATTCCGGTGGTCAGGGAAACCCTCTCTGCCAGGGTGACAGTTGAACAGAGATCTGAATGGAATGAAGGAATAAATAGCTGGGGAAGAGCATTCCTGTGGAAGGAATGGCTCTAGGATGGGGGTTTGCTTGGGATGCTTCAGGCACAGCAAGGCCAGTGTGGCTCAAGGCAGGAGCAAGAAGGTGGAAGAGTTTGAGGTTGGAGATGAGTCAGAGACTCCCCTGGCTCCTGGGAGCCAGATGCCAGATGCTGCTGCCTGAAATTGGTAAGCTTGAAATTGATTGTGATGGGAGTATTAACACTATGAAAATTGGCAAAAGCTATAAATCAGGGCTTTTTTTTTTCCTTCTTCTTCTTGGAGCACTGACTTTTGTAGGTCGCAGTCAGGAGTTTGGATTTTATTCCAAGTTTGACAAGAAGCCATTGGACCTTTGGAGCAGGGAGTGACATCTTATTTCTGTTTCTGAGATCGTTCTGGGCTGTGCATGGAGAAGAGACAGTAGGCAGGCAAGAGAAGAAATCATTTAGTCCTCCCAGCAAGAGATGATGGTGGCTTGGACTTAAAGGGGTTGGATTTAGGCCGGGCGCCGTGGCTCACACCTGTAATCCCAGCACTTTGGGAGGCTGAGGCAGGCAGATCACTTGAGGTCAGGAGTTCGAGATCAGCCTGGTCAACATGGTGAAACCCCGTCTCTACTAAAAATACAAAAATTAGCTGGGCATCGTGGCATGCACCTTTAATCCTGCTACTCGGGAGGCTGAGGCAGGAGAATCTCTTGAACCTGGGAGGCGGAGCTTGCAGTAAGCCGAGATTGTGCCATTGCACTCCAGCCTGGGTGACAAAGTGAGACTCTGTCTCAAAGAGAAAAAAAAAAAGGGCGGGGGGGGGTTGGATTTGGAATGTGTTTGGATTTACTGCTGGATAGGGAGTGTGAAGTGTGAGCAAGAGAGAGGCATGGAGAGATGCACCAAGGGTGATTGTGGCCTTTGCGTGTTCTGCTCATCTATTGTGCATAACAAAACACCTGGATGTTTGGTGGCTTAAAGCCATACCAGTTATTTATTGAGCTCATATATCTGTAATTGTACCAGGACTCTGTGGGGAAAGCTAACCTGTCCTGCTCAGCATCCCCTGGGAGGTTGGAAGGGTGCTAGAGTCATTTGAAAATTCTTCACTCACATGTGCAACGGTGGTGGATGCTGGCTGTTAACTGGGACCTCACCTGGGGCTGTCACCTAGGTCACCTACGCAGACGCTCTTCATGTGACCTTGGCCTCCTCCCAGCACTGCAGCAGGGTTCCAGGAGCAAGTATCCCAAGAAAACAGGAAAGCTGGATGGAAGCTATATTACCTTCTGAGACCAAGTCTCCAGAGCTGCATAGCATGACATCCACCGTACCCCATCCCGCAGGTAAGGGGAGGGACCATAGATTCCATTTCTTGCTAGGGGAGTGGTAAGGTTCTAGAAGAACATGTGAGACTGGAAATACTGTCATGGCTAATTTTAGAAAATACGGAAAATACAATCCCCATATTATGTGTCTGGTCGCAGGCGAAGCACACCCTTACATTATTTCATTCCATTCTGTACTATCTTTATAGATGACAAAACTGAAGCTTGGAGATGTCACATCACCTGCCCAAAGCCACCCAACCACTAAGGGGACAGAACTGGAGTTTGATTCCAGTAGTCTGATTCCATGTAACTGGCAAGAACCTGGCCAAGCCAAATGCAGCCAAACAAGACTTGGAAGTGGCAGAGAATGGTCTTCCGAGGTTAACCCAGAGAGTGGGCAGCCAGAGATGAGAGCTGCCTGCTCTGGGCCTACTCACAGCCTCTGGCCTCTCTAGGGTTAGCCTTAGTCTCCCAACTGGCTCTAAGGCCATGATTTTATTCTAATTTCAAGGCTATAAGAACATGAGGCCATGCCTGTAATCTCAGCAGTTTGGATGGCTAAGGCAGGAAGATCGCCTGAGCCCAGGAGTTCGAGACCAGCCTGGCCAACAGAGTGAGACCCCTTCTCTACAAAAAAAACTTTTGAAATTTACAGGGTGTAGTGGCACGTGCCTGTGGTCTCAGCTATTTAGGAGGCTGAGGTAGGAGGATTGCTTGAGCCCAGGAGGTTGAGGCTGCAGTGAACCAAGATCATACCACTATACTCCAGCCTGGGCAATACAGAGAGAACTTGCAAAGAAGAAGAAGAAGAGGAGGAGGAGGAGGAGAAGGCAAGGAGGAAGAAGGAAGAAGAAGTTTGAACACACATAAGCAGAAAAGACAATTTGCCCTGAGCAGGCCCTGGAAGCCTATTCTTGGCTCTGGAGGGCCCTAAAATCTGGATGGAGCTTCCCTGCAGGGTTGGGTGCAGGCCAGTATGTGGGCAGATGGAAGGGATGGTGGAAAGCACTTATTCCAGAAATCATCAATGTGGGGCTTAGATGCCCAGCAAGGGAACTGGAAGGCTAGATGTTCCAGTTCCAGCTGTCTAAAGACAGCTTTCTAAGTCAAGCCAGTAGCCCCTTTATTTTGATCAATATTTCCTAGGAGAAAAGGCCGGGTCAGTGCAGAAACTTAGATGGTCTCTGGGGACCACTGGTTTCTCTGCCCAGTGGCCGATCATCAACTTCCGCTGTGAACAGCTTTCAGTAGTTTTCCAGAGTGCTGGCAAGGAAGACTTGACTTGAGGATTGGACACCAGGAAAATTGCCAGAATAATGTGTGTGTGTTGGGGGGGTTATAACAGGATGTGTTTATTTTGTTTGTTTGTTTTTTGTGTTTTCTTTTCCCTTTGCTTTTTTGTTTCTTTTCTTTTTGGAAACCATCTCAAACAGTATATTTATTTCTTGATAAACTATCTCAGGCATTAAAATGATAGATAATACAAACACTGGAAATAACCCAAATGCCTGCCAACAGGTGAATGGATGGACATATTCTTTTTGTTGTTGTTGTTGTTGTTTGAGACAGGGTCTCAGTTGCCCACGCTGGAGTGCAGTGGCACAATCACAGCTCACTGCAGCCTCCACATCCTGGGCTCAAGGCCTCCTGCCTCAGCCTCCTGAGTAGTTAGGACTACAGGTGTGGGCCACTACTTTTAGCCAAATTTTTTTTTTTTTTTTTTTTTTTTTAGAGACAGGGTTTCACTATGTTGCCGGGCTCCAAATAGGTGTCTTTTTTTAGATTCTCCTGCCTCAGCCTCCCGAATAGTTGGGATTACAGGCGCCCACCATGCCCAGCTAATTTTTGTCTTTTTAGCAGAGACAGGGTTTCACCATATTGGCCAGGCTGGTCTCAAACTCCTGACCTCAAGTGATCTGCCCACCTTGGCCTCTCAAAGTGCTGGGATTACAGGCGTGAGCCACCGTGCCTGGTCCATATTATTTTTTTAAAAAATAGGGATGGAATCTCACTATTGTGACCAGCCTGTCTCAAATTCCTGGCCTCAAGCCATTCTCCCATCTCGGCCTCCCAAAGTGCTGGGATTACAAGTATGAGCCACCGTGCCCAGCCTAAAATCTTTTTTTTTCCTTTCTTTTTTTTTTGAGACAGAGTCTAGCTTTGTCACCTACGCTGGAGTGCAGTGGCCAGGATCTTGGCTCACCACAACCTCTGTCTCCCAGGTTCCAGCAATTCTCCTGCCTCAGCTTCCTGAGTAGCTGGGATTACAGGTGTGTGCCAGCTAATTTTTTGTATTTTTCATAGAGACAGTTTTCACCATGTTGGCCAGGCTGGTATCAAACTCCTGACCTCAAATGATCTGCCTGCCTTGGCCTCCCAAAATGCTGGGGTTACAGGCATGAGCCACCATGCCCCGCCTAAAATATCTTTCTTAAAGCACATTGCGGCCCCCAAAAAGTTTGAAAACCCTGCCCTAAATATGTGACATTGTTTTCCCATTTTAAACTTTTATGTAAGTAGCATCATCCAGCCCAAATGCTTCCCCCAGCTGGCTTTTGCTTCATTGATATTAGCTTTGAGATGAATCCATGTTGATACACGTAGCTCAGTTTCCTTCCTTTCCATCACCGCCTAAACATGCTGCAAGTTATTTCTCCGTCATCCTATGATTGGATTTTTTTTTTTTTTTTTTTTTTTTTTGCCAAATGGGACATTTAAAAAATAGCTATCTCTCACTATTACCACCTTTCTTACTTGGAAGGACATTTTAATATAAATAAAGTCAGAATGTCCTGCTCTCAGAAGCAAAGCCGGTCTTTTAAACGAAATAAATCTGGCTTTATGAAAACTCATTCCACCTGCCCCTGAGGGTTAAGGCTGTTGGTTTTCTTCCTTGTTGACTGTTAGTTTGTTTATTAGATGTTGTAACCTAGTGAAAACATAGTCACCTACACAACAATATTAGGCTGCCTGGTGCTACCTCTGGGGAAGGAAAGGGGAAGCGAATAGGATGGAGATGGGATTCAAAGAGAGTAGACTGGGCATGGTGGCTCACGCCTGTAATCCCAGCACTTTGGGAGGCCAAGGTGGGTGGATTACTTGAGGTCAGGAGTTTAAGACCAGCCTGACCAACATGGCGAAACCCAGTCTCTACTAAAAATACAAAAATTAGCCAGGTGTGGTGGGCACCTGTAATCCCAACTACTTGGGCGGCTGAGGCAGGAGAATCGCTTGAACCTGGGAGGTGGAGGTTACAGTGAGCCAAGATCGCACCATTGCACTACAGCCTGGGCGACAGAGCAAGACTCCGTCTCAAAAAAAAAAAAAAAAAAAAAAGTGTCAACCATAATACTTCATTTCCTTTCTTACCTAAAAAAAAAATAAAGAAAAAAAACTAAGTCAAATATGGCCAAATGTTAACATTTGGAATCTCTGGAGTGTGAAGAGGGGTATCTATATGCAAGTACTTTAAGCTTTAAATAGTTCATTGCATTTTTTTCATTACCAATCTATACTTCGCTCCAAGTTCTAAATAGTTCATTACAATGTTTTTTTCTTTTTCTTTTTTTTTTTTTTTTGAGATGGAGTCTCACTCTGTCACCCAGGCTGGAGTGCAGTGGTGCTGTCTCAGCTCACTGCAGCCTCCACCTCTCAGGTTCAAGTGATTCTCCTGCCTCAGCCTTCTGAGTAGCTGGGACTACAGGCGTCCACCACCACACCCAGCTAATTTTTGTATTTCTAGTAGAGATGGGGTTTCACCATGTTGGCCAGGCTGGTTTCGAACTCCTGACCTCAGGGATCCACCTGCCTTGGACTCCCAAAGCGCTGCGATTACAGGCGTGAGCCACCGTGCCCAGCCAAAACATGTTTTTTAAGGAATGGGGTCTCACTACATTGTTCAGGCTAGTCTCAAACTCCTGGGCTTGAAGCAATCCTCTCACCTTGGCCTCCCAAAATGCTGGAATTACAGGTGTGAGCCACCACACTGGCCAGAAGACATCTTTTATTGTCATGATTGGAGAAGAGGGGCATGCTACTTGTATCTGGTGGGTAGAAATCAGGGATGCCGCTAAACACCATGTAGTACACAGGACAGAACCCGCTCGACAGAGAACGATCTAGCCCAAAACGTCAATAGCGCCCAGGTCAACAATCCCTGCTCTAAAGTGAGCCTCCCTTTGCCAGACTTTGTTCCAAATGGCAGTGCGATCCACCCTCCAGATGCTGGGATAGCTTGTTTCTTTCCCGACCACAGAGTGAGTCATTTTGTGATGCTAAGGAACATTTAGCAAGGCGATAATCATCCTAGTTTCACTGTTGGATAATTCCAGATGAAAGTGTATTTGGGGCCTTCTCAAAGAAAGACACACCCAACGACAATGAAGGCTCTGTGAAGGCCAAGGCTGGTGCAAGAGGTTTTGAACAGCCCATCTAAATCCCCCTGCTCCAAGAAGGCTCCTGGGAACATCCCAAAGAATCTGCTCTCCCTGATCCCTAAGAACATAACTTCTGTGTTTGGAGGAAGAAGTGTGACATCAGATTCCCTGGGTTTAAATCCTGGCTCTGGCCCTCCCCAGCTGGGTTATAAATTATTTCCCTTGGCGAAACCTAACTCCTAAAATAGTGTGAAGATTAAAATGAGCATGCATGCAGGGCGCAATGGCTCAAGCCTGTAATCCCAGCACTTTGGGAGGCTGAGACAGGAGGATCGCTTGAGCCCAGGAGTTCAACATCAGCCTGGGCAACATAGCGAGACCCTATCTCTACAAAAAAAAAAAAAAATCAGAAAAATTAGGGCAGGCATGGTGGCTCATGCCTGTAATCCCAGAATTTTGGGAGGCCGAGGCAGGTGGATCACCTGAGGTCAGGAGTTCAAGACCAGCCTACAAAAATATTAGCCAGGTGTGGTGGTGCATGCTTGTCCTCCCAGCTACTCTATACTCTGGAGGGTGAGGCAGGAGAATCGCTTGAACCCAGGAGGCAGAGGTTGCAGTGAACGGAGATCATGCCACTGCATTCTACCCTGGGTGACAGAGTAAGACTTCGTTTCAAAAATAAAATAAAATGAGCATGCATGAAAGGCCATGAGCATAGAGATTGGCACACAGAAAACACTCAATAAATGCCAGCTATTATCACTGTTATTGTCATCATTATTCCTGTTAGCACCCTAAGTACATTGGAAGATACATTCTCACGATCACATTCTGAGATGGGTAATAATGTCCCCATTTTGCAGATTAGAAAACTAAGACTAATCAGTAAAGCCACCATATATATATAATATATGTATACACACACACACACACGCACACACATATATACATTTACAAGTATAAATATATATACATTTACAAGTATAAATATATACATTTACAAGTATAAATATATATACATTTACAAGTATAAATATATATACATTTATAAGTATAAATATATATACATTTATAAGTATATATACGTTTATAAATATAAATATATATACATTTATAAACATAAATACATATATTTATATATATAAATATATAAAATGGACATTTACTTTATACATGTGTATACTTTATATTTTATACATATATACATATATGTATATATGTGTATACATACATACAGATGTGTGTGTATGTGTATACATACAGATGTGTGTATATGTGTATATATGTACATATATATGTATGTATGTGTATATATACACATATATACACATACATATATACATGTGTGTATATATATATATACACACACACACATATATATATTACACAATTTCACTCTGTCACCCAGGCTGGAGTGCAGTGCTGAAATCTTGGCTCACTGCAACCTCCGTCTCCTGAGTTCAAGAGATTCTCCTGCCTCAGCCTCTGGAGTAGCTGGGATTACAGGCACCCACCACCATGCCCGCCTAATTTTTGTATTAGATGTAGAGATGAGTTTCGCCATGTTGGCCAGGCTGGCCTCGAACTCCTGACCTCAAGTGATCCGCCTGCATCAGCCTCCCAAAGTGCTGGGATTACAGGCATGAGCCACCGCTCCCGGCTAAAGCCACATTTTTCAACAGCCTGCTCTCTAGTCTCATAGCTTCCTCTCCTTCTCACCTACAGTCCATTCTCCTCACGGAAACCAAAGAAATCTTTTAAAAATGTAGGCTGTGCGCGGTGGTTCACGCCTGTAATCCCAGCACTTTGGGAGGCCGAGGTGGGAGGATCACCTGAGGTCAGGAGTTCGAGACCAGCCAGGCCAACATTAGCCAGGCATGATGGCAGGTGCCTGTAATCCCAGCTGCTCGGGAGGCTGAGGTGGGAGAATCGCTTGAACCCGGGAGGTGGAGGTTGCAGTGAGCCGAGATCATGCCATTGCACTTCAGCCTGGGTGACAGAGTAAGACTCTGTCTCAAAAAAAAAAAAAATGCAATCAGAGCTAAGCATGGAGGTGTGCACCTATAGTCCCAGTTACTTGGGTAGGAAGTAACTGTCCAGGAGTTCGTGTCCAGCCTGGGCACCATAGTAAAACCTGATCTTGGCCAGGCTCGGTGGTTCACACCTATAATCCTAGCACTTTGGGAGGCCAAGGTGGGTGGATCACTTGAGGTCAGGAGTTCGAGACCAGCCTGATCAACATGTAGAAGCCCCGTCTCTACTAAAAATACAAAATTTGCTGTGCGTGGTGGCACATGCCTGTAATCCCAGCTACTTGGGAGGCTGAGGCAGGAGAATCGCTTGAACCTGGGAGGCGGAGGTTGCAGTGAGATGAGATCGCGCCATTGCACTCCAGCCTGGACGACAAGAGCGAAACTCCATCTCAGAAACAAAACAAAACAAAACCCGATCTTTCAAAACACATACACACAATCAGACCTTATTTTGAAGAAGATGCTCTCTGGGTTATATGTGATGTGATATTTTATGATCCATCATTTTTTTGTGGGGGAGACAGGGTCTCACTCTGTCGCCCCAGCTGGAATGCAATGGCACAGTCACAGCTCACTGCAGCCTCAACCTCCGGGGCTCAAGCAATTCTTCTGCCTCAGCCTCCTGAGTAGCTGGGAGTTATAGGTGCACACCACCAAGCCCGGCTAATTTTTTGTATTTTTTGTAGAGACAGGGTATTGCCATGTTGCCCAGGCTGTTCTCAAACTCCTGAGTTCAAGCGATCCGCCCATCTCAGCTTCCCAAAGTGCTGGGATTACAGGCATGAGCCACCACGCCCAGCCTGATCCACCATTTCTTTATGATTTAGGTGTTAGGAAATAATTATGAGCAATGCCTTGGCTGTTGATGTTAACATTAAGGGGAAACCTAAAGGCATATGGGAACTCTTTGTACCATCTTTGCTACATTTCAGTAAACCTAAAACTATTCCAAAATAAAAAGCTTATTTAAAAAAAACATGAGGCTGGGGGCGGTGGCTCACGCCTGTAATCCCAGCACTTTGGGAGGCCGAGACGGGTGGATCACTTGAGGTCAGGAGTTCAAGACCAGCCTGGCCAACATGGTGAAACCTCGTCTCTACTAAAAATACAAAAAATTAGCTGGGTGTTGTGGTGCATTCCTGTAATGCCAGCTACTAGGGAGGCTGAGGCAGGAGAATTGCTTGAATCCAGGAGGCAGAGGTTGCAGTGAGCCGAGATCATGCCACTGCACTTCAGCCTGGGCAGCAAAGTGAGACTCCGTCTCAAAAAAAAAAAAAACAACAAAAACATGAAGTCATGAAGTCAGGCTGGGCACAGTGGCTCATGCCTATAATCCCAGCACTTTGGGAGGAGGAGGCGGGCAAACCGCTTGAGCCCAGGAGCTCAAGACCAGCCTGGGCAACATAGCAAGACCACTGTCTCCACAAAAAACTTAAAAATTAGCTGGGTGTGGTGGTGTGCACCTGTAGTCCCAGTTACCTGGAAGGCTGAGGCGAGAGAATCACTTGGGCCTAGGAGGTCAAGGCTGCAGTGAGCCATGATATCACCACTGTAGTTTAGCCTGAGCAACAGGGCAAGACCCTGTCTCTAAAAAAAAAAGTGAAATAAGATCATGTTACTCCTCTACCTAAAACCCTGCAGTGACTTCCCATTAAGCTTAGAATAAAATCCGAACGTCTTCTTGTGGTTTAAAAGACCCTGAGTGGGCCGAGGCGGGCAGATCACCTGAGGTCAGGAGTTTGAGATTAGCCTGGCCAACATGGTGAAACCCTGTCTCTACTAAAAATACAAAAATTAGCCGGGGCATGGTGGCAGGCACCTGTAATCCCAGCTACTTGGGAGGCTGAGGCAGGAGAACCGCTTGAACCCGGGAGGTAGAGGTTACATGAGCCAAGGTCGTGCCATTGCACTCCAGCCTGGGCAACAAGAGAGAAAAAAAAACAAAAACCCTGAGTGATCTGGCCTCTGGCCACTTCTCCAATCCCCACCTTCTTCTTCTTTTTTTTTTTTTTTTTTGAGATAGAGTCTCTCTGTCACCCAGGCTGGAATGCAATGGCGCGATCTCGGCTCACTGTAGTCTCCACCTCCCGGGTTCAAACGATTCTCCTGCCTCAGCCTCCCAAGTAGCTTAGGATTACAGTCACCCGACACTACTCCCGGCTAAATTTCATATTTTTAACAGAGACGGTGTTTGACCATGTTGGCCAGGCTGGTCTCAAACTCCTGACCTCAAGTGATCTGCCTGCCTCGGCCTTCCAAAGTGCTAGGATTACAGGCGTGAGCCACCGCGCCCAGCCTTCCAACCCCCACTTCTGACACTCTTCTCCTACCTTTCACACTGTGCTCTAGCCACTCTGGCCTTTTTCCCATTCCTCCAACACTGGAAGATTGTTCCTGCCTCAGGGCCTTTGCACTTGGTGGTCCTTCTGTTGGGAATATTCTTCCCCTATGCCAATCCTTCCCATGACTTTCTCTTTTTCATCCTTCACATCTTGACTCAAATGTCAAATCCTCAGAGTCCTCCTATGTGGTCACATGACCCTTTCTAATTTTCTCACGAAATCGCCACTCTCTGAAATTATCCTCCTCAAATGGTTTATCTGTTCCCCTCTGTGTCTTTCTCTAGACTGGGAGCTCCATGAGGACAGGGACTAAGTCTGGCTTATTCACTGCTATGTCCCCAGCTTCTCACACAGTGCCTGACACCCAGTACGGCCTCGACAAACGTTGCCCAAAAGAATACAAGTGTCTGCCGGTAACACTACAGGATGCAGAGATAGAACTGTGGACGTTGTCAAAGAGCATTCACCCGTATTTTTTCCCCATGGTTCCCTCCTTTGTATAAAACCCCTGGAATATCCAGGGAGGTCTAGATTTGCAGGCAAACTTCATCACCAACACTCAACACTTCTTTCTTTTCTTTTTTTTTTTTTTTTGAGACGGAGTCTCATTCTGTCGCCCAGGCTGGAGTGCAGTGGCACGGTCTCAGCTCACTGCAACCTCCGCCTCCTGGGCTTAAGCGATTCTCATGCCTCAGCTTCTGGAGTAGCTGGGATTACAGGCACCCACCAGCACGCCCAGCTACTTTTTGTATTTTTAGTACAGATGGTGTTTCACTATATTGTCCAGGCTGGTCTCGAACTCCTGGCCTCAAATGATCCACCCACCTCGGCCTCCGAAAGTGCGTGAGCCACTGCGCCCAGCCACCAACACTTCTTCCAATCATCTCACCACAATCCTAATGCTCATTAAATTGGAAGGACGGAGAGAATAAAGTTCATCCCCAGCCTTCTAGAACAGAGTTCCAAATTGCTGGCCTAGGGCCAAATGTAACCCACAGATATGCTTTGTCTGCCTCACACTGTTTTAGAAGATTTTGAGTTCATGACCGACTTTTTAAAATTGGAACATTTAACATAAAAATCCATATGTTCAAGTTTTACCAAAAACTCAGAGGATCTGGCCACAAGTGGCCCCAGGGGACTGGAGCTGAGAAGTGGCCGCCCCCTTGGATGAAACGTGGGCTCAGTTTGCTCCAGTCCCTACCCAGAGGCTGAATTCTTTCGTATTATCAGCCAGGTCCCTTTAGGCACTGGGATCCCCCCTCAAAGCCTAAGTATCCTCAGAGACACTATTGAGTTTCCAATATTTGGCCACAGCCACTCTCTTCTAATCATCAGCTCCCCATCATCTTCAGCAGCCCCTAAGAAAGCTCTGTAGAGCCAGGAAAGACAGTTTGAAAAGTGCACTTTAATCCACTCTCCTCATTTGACAGATAGGCAAACTGAGGCCTAGAGAGGGGAAGGGACATTCCATTTATTAGGCTGTATCCTTTCTGACAGGATGCTTATATCAACTCATCTTTGGAAAGCCACTGGTGCTGATAATGGCAGAAAAAGGCGAATAGGGAATCAGTGCTTTCCTCCACCGGCTATTTGCTGGTTCCTGGGAGCTGTGAGGGCCCACCCTGGTGAGCTATGCCATGCTCAGGCTCAGAGCCAGCTAATCACTTAGGCATGTGCCAGCAGAACTGAACTCTGGAGGGGAGTTGCCCAGCAGAAAACAACCTGGGGACAGAGGCTCTCCCCATGTCCCAGCTCAGTCTGAAGTCCTCCTCCAGCCCTGATGATGTTGCAAGAGGTTAACACACCTGCCATTTTGCATGAGGAAAATTATGGCACTCGTATTGTGGGCAGAGACACAATTCAGTCATTCCACTGGGTTCCAAATTGATATGTGCCCAGTATGTGCCAGGGATGTGAACACTGCTGGGGGTTCACTGCCGGGTTTTACTGAATATGAACGAGGGCTGTGGTTTCAGGCTGTCCTGAGTTCCAGCCCTGACTCTGTAACTTCCTGGCTGTGTGACCTTCAGCAACCACCCTAGCCTCTCTGTGCCTCACTTTCTTCATCTGTAAATGGGGATGATAGGAATAGGACATAATTCCTAGGATTATCTTGGGGATTCAATGAGATCATTTTTTGGCACATACTAAGAAATGAACACAGTAGCATTTTTTTTCTTGTTTATTTTTCTCCACTGCACTTATCAGAAGCTGATATTTTTATTTGCATCTTTGCTTACCATCTGACTGACTAAATGACTCTCCATAGAAAAAAGCCTTGTCTGTCTTGATCACCCCTGCTTCCCTGTCTAGAACAATGCCTGGCACAGAGTGGGTACTCCATAAATATTTGTCTGCTGAATGAATTGCTGTCTTTCATATTTCTACCCTAAATGCCATTCCGATGATGCACCCTGCCCTGGAGTAGCCCAAAGTCCTGTGGACTCCAGCAAGAGCCCCCCCTGACCTCCATAGCCAGATGTTCACAGCAGCGCTGGGCACCAACTCCGAATGTCACCAACTGGGCTCATTGCCTTGGCCTGACAAATGGCACTTATGTGACTTCTGGTGGACAGAGCTGTAGCAGGGGAAAGTGAGTTAGTGCCTGAGGAAAGTGGATCGATAGGCTGAGTTCTGAAACTCAAGGGCCCTGCACCAGTAGCGAGGGGGCCCAAGTAAGGGGACATGGAGCCCGCACCCTGAGGACATTGCTTTGGAAGAGGATGCCTGGGTGGTGCAATTACCTCGTGGCATACTGAGATGGGGATTCGTGCATCCTGCACGCCTTGGGAAACAAAATGAATTTCTCGGAGAGAGGGGGCTTTGCAAAATGTAAAGCGCTGCAGGAAGCAACGTACATGGAAAGGTCAGGAAAGAGAGCCGATCTGTTTGCTGAGTGTGGGCTGTACTTCCAAACCCAGCCAAAGTCGACGCGCAGCCCCTGGAGGTGGCACAGTTTGGGGGCCCCTTGGATAGGAGTGCCCTCGGGGAGGCTGGGAAGCCAGAGAGGAATGGGCCAAAGTTTCTTCGGGTGTCTGCAGAACCCAGGACCGCCCGCGCAGCTTGCATCTTCTCTTCCCGCCCCCGGCCTGCACGCGTGAAATCTGCAAATTCCCCTTTTAACTGCTGCACGCGCTCGTTCAACTTTGCCCTGGCTAGAATCGGGATAACCGTCCCGATGATTACATAACTTTCCGAGTTCAGGGAAGATAAATCCAAGGGACAGAAATGATAAAATTTTCTTTGAGTATGGATTTTTTACCCCTAAAGTTACAGAAGTGCACAAAAAATATATATACAAATACCCATATACCCACCACTCACAATGAGTTAACTGTTACATTTTGACTTATCTGAAAGAGGGTTTTTTCTTTTTAGTTACCAAATAAACCTTTCTCTTGTCCCAAGTTCCAGTATATCTGAATCCAAAATAAGTCAACCTTCTTTTCTTTATTATTCTTTTCCATCCTCACCCCAGATTTATCTTAAAGGGTAAGTTCCAGGACCCCCGAAATCCCTCGGTGAGCTCCCACCTGTCCAGGTCTGCAAACATCTAGACTCAATGCACAAGATCCGGCGATGGCCGCAACCGGCGGTGTGCACAGCTGCATTTCCTCCCCCAGCCCCAACTCCCGCGTGCAACTTTGCAACTCTCGCTCGGGCCCGGCATTGGGGGCGGGCCTATTTACTCGGCCCGTTTGGCGGAAGGATCCCATGCGGGGACGCGGTTGCGCTCAGCCATCTGCGCCCCGCCCAGCGCCCGGGCCCCGCCCCCTCCAGCGCCCGGGCCCCGCCCCCTCCCGCGCCCCCTATGGCCCATAAAGAAGTCCCGGCCGGGCCGCTGCACTCCCCGCGCGCATCCGTGCGCCGCCCGAGGCTGTCTAAGGAGTCGGCGGCCATTTTGTTCTTCTCGTGGTTCCAGTGGGGAGAGAAGGAGGAAGTAGGGAGCGGGGTGGCAGGGGGGGGACCCGCCGCGGCTGCTGCCACCGCCGCCACCACCGCCTCTGCTCGTGGCGTGGGAAAGGAGGTGTGAGTCCCGGGCGCGAGCCGGCGGCGGCGCCGCTGCGGGAGGGTCGGCGGTGGGAAGGCGATGGCGGATTTAGATAAACTCAACATCGACAGCATTATCCAACGGCTGCTGGAAGGTAAGGGGGGCGGCGGGCGGCTGAAGGGGGAGGCGGGCCTGAGGGCGGCAGGCGGCCCCGGGGGCTCGAGGGAGGGGAGTTGGGAGGCCGGTTGGGCTTGCAGCACCGTGGGGAGTGAGCTCCTCGAGTTGGCCCACGGGCCGGGGACTGCAGCCGGAGGGAGGCCAGCCCGGGATTCCCAACTTGTCGCCAGCTGCGGACCCTCCAGGCTCCGCTCATTCATTGCACGAGGATGCAGGCTTCCTCCCGGCCGTGGAATTTGAAAACTCCGCTCCCCACCCCCACGTTTCCCGCCCCTACCCGTTTGCCCCCGCGCACTGGACGGGTCTTTGGAGCGATGGTTGGGGATCCCAGTCCAGCCTCCTGGACGACGTGTGCCGTGCTGTGCGAGATGGACTTTTCGGTGCTCGTCCTCTCGGAAGGCAGTTTGATGAGGGCATGAGTTCCGCCGGGTTTGGGGGCTCTTTTCCTGCTTGCTTTTATTTTTATTTTTCGTGGTTCTGGGGTCTTGGGGGGCCCATTTCTTGTTACTTGGTAACAAGCGTTCATGTCTCAAGAGGTGTGAGAACCTGTCTTCGCCTGCCCTCCAAATCCTTTTAAGTTGTTCTAATCTTGGAGAGGTCTCCGCGCTCTTTTCCTGAGCGTGCATCTGAAGAGGAAGCCAACGAGGCTGACGCTATCATTATCTTTCCAATGTGCCAGGCTCTGTCTTAAGCACTTTGCGTCCATGAATTATTACTGTAATCATAACTGACGCTTCTAAAGCGCTTACTGTGTGTCAGGCATTCTTTGAGCACTTAAGACAGATTTCATTTAATTCTCCCACCCATTGCAAGATATTTGCAATTTTTTTTGTTTTTGTTATTTTACAGAAGAAACTGAGATGAAGTCACTTAACCAAGGTCACACAGTTAGTGACAGTTGGATTTCAAATCCACATAGCCGGGAGCTAGAACCCTCTACAGACAACACTGTCACCTTATGTAGGAAGGAAGGTGGCCAGTGGTTAAGTAAAGGTTAATAGAAAGCTTTAAATTTCGGCTCATCTAAGACTTGTGAGGTGCCTGGCAATTGATTCATGTTGATGTGGGAGAGGGGCGAGGTTCAGCTTTTAAAGACGGAAGCTGAAATGAGCTGCTTTCAGATTCAAGGGCATGTCAACGGATGCTAACATCTTATCCAAGACTTTGTAAGAATTCAGTCATATCCCCTAACTTGGACACTTCATAATGGGAACTTGGCAGTTTCAACTGCTTTTTGCCTTTATACAGTCCTAAAATATTGTTGGACTATAAATGCTGTGAGTGGTGGAGTCGAGGGCATGAACAGTTGGACAGCTCTGGTGTTAGAATTTACAGATCTTTTAAAGTAAGTTATTAAAATGAAGCTCCTGAAAATATCTCGTCCTTTTCTTAATCTGTGCATTCTTTCCTTTTATGCTGTCTTTAAAAAAAAAACAACAAAAAAAACACTAAATGTCATTAAGGACCCCTGAAATGCTCTTGAAATGTTATTGCAGGTGAAAACCTTGTATTGTAGGTGAAAACCTTGTCATTCTTTTAATGCCAGGTATTTATATAAGAACCATACTTTTTCATACTAGTTAATATAGTTCTTTAATTTATTCGAGGCAGCAGTTGGTCAGAAACTGATTAAAATAGTTTGCTGTAAGAAAGGAACTTTTTGTTAAATATTTTCTTTCTAAATTTTAAAATTCTGCTTATCTCTGCAGGGATATGTGTGGCTTTATTTCTCTGAGGAAACAGGAAAAGTTGGAATTTGCATGGATTAGAAACATTAGAATTTTAAGATCATCTAAGGCTTGCTAATTTAAGTTCTGGTTTGCCCATAACTGCCTCTATTCATAAACAGCTTTTGTTAATTTTGATCTTTAAAATTGTAATAAGTACTTTGCCTGGTAAGTAATGATACATCTAAAATGAGATCATTGTTTCTTAATAGTTCCTCTTGTTATGTGGCACTTGAAAACCAGGTTTTCTTATATTTCATTTTTTGCTGAAATTAATAAAGCAGTGCATTTTAATGCCTTGGGAATAGGCTAACTGCAAAGTATACTTAAATTTCTTTTTTTCTCGTGGGTGTTAAATTGGCAGAGAAACAGTTGAAGATGATCCATTGAGGATATGTAGATATCTAAGTTAAATGATGTTGGTAATAAATTCTGTTTTACAATTTTTTATTTAAAAAAATTAAATTTAATAATTTAAAATAGAAATGAGAGTCTCACTGTGTTGCCCAGGCTGTTCTCAAACTCCTGGTTTCAAGCAGTCCTCGCACCTCGTCCTCCCCAGGTGCTGGGGTTATAGTCATGAGCCACCGTGCCCGGCCTAAATTTTATTCTTTTCATAATGCCCCCAAAACCTTTTTTTTCCCTAAATAAGATGTAAGTATATCTGAAAGTAGAGGGAATATGACTTGTGACTTTGGCCAGATTTTTTTACGTGTTTAGAATTGATCTTTTAAGCTTGCGAGCAGTATAACCTAGTTGAGAAGTAGCTGAGTAATAGTACTAAAAAGCTAACTGAAAAGTGAAGTCTTAAGAAAAACAGCATGTTGGTTTAGATCTTAGTCACTAACCTTTGCAGTTCTTTTCTTCTCTGAACTCTGAGTATTTCTGTAAGCGAGGCATCACCTCTGCAACCCACCATGGATGCTTTTATCCAAGCTCTGCCTTGCTGATGATAAAACTTAAGGTTGTTAACTCCTTAGTATAACTGATGTTAGTTATTTAAATAACTACACAGTAAAACGGCATTTTGAGAGAAAATAAGCCAGCTGTTGATTTGGTCTGATGTATTGAAGACAAGTGAGATTTGGGGCAGTTTTACTTTGTAAATGACCTCCTTCAAGGAGCCATGGTGGCTAGCATTTTTTTTGCATAGCAGGTGGTTGTAACTTACTTCACATCTTGGTTTGCAAGAAGCATCTTTGCTTTGAAGAAGGCCATTGTCAAAGTGCAAGACCATGTCAGGCTCTGCAGAATTGCCTGACTTGTTTTAGTGATTTAAATATGATCTCTGCCCTGGCTCACAGAAAGTGCTTACAGATTTAATCCTCTGATACATAAGGGTTGTTCTGAAGGTAGGGAGTGTTCAGATATTCTGAAACTCTAAGATTGTTTAAATAACCCATATGTTCATCTTTTTGATGCAGTATAAAACGTTCATATTCTGGTGTTTAGCCATCCCTGGTCCTAAAGATAATAAAGGACAAACATAATGGTTTAAAAAGGGGAAGGTTTCTTAATATGCTAACCAAAAAAAAAAACAAAAGTAATCTTTCCTAATGAACACCTGTAATTATTTATTTTTTTATTTTATTTTGGAGACAGAGTCTCACTCTGTCACCCAGGCTGGAGTGCAGTGGTGGGATCCTGGCTCACTGCAACCTCTGCCTCCCGGGTTCAAGCGATTTTGGTGTCTCAGCCCCCTGAGTAGCTGGGATTAACAGGCATGCACCACCACGCTCGGCCAAGTTTTTGTATTTTTAGTAGAGATGAGGCCAGGCTGGTTTTGAACTCGTGACCTCAAGTGGTCTGCCCGCCTCAGACTCCCAAAGTGCTGGGATTACAGGCATGAGCCACCGTGCCCAGCCTGTAATTATTTGTTTACAGAGCAGGTAATTTTTACACTCACATCCAAGTTGTCAGTTTCTAATTCCCTCATTGATAAGAACTCTGATGTGAGCCCTTGCCCTTCCTTTCCCATCAGTATGTTGGTCATATGCCCACTTCCTCTCCTCCTAGGCAAGGTGGGAAAGCTCTGTTGGAGACAGATGATCTGCAGCTTGCAGGAGTCCTTTTTTAAACCACAGCATTGAAAAAGGATTACTCTCCTTGTGCCCGCAGTGCCCTCTTGCCTGTCAGTAGCAGGAGGCAGCAGTGAAATCTGACAGAATTGTGTGTGACGTTGTGCTTGCGGGGGATGTGACACACAGGAGCGCTCTGCATTCTGAGCCTAGGGTGTTCCTCCTCATAACTGGGCAAATGGACATGCAGTTGTAGCCCAGCAGTGGTCAGCTGTAGAAATTAGTGAGGTGATTTGATGTCTTTGAAAGCACAGTCCTATTACAACCTGTAACCTGTTGTGCAGAATCACAGTACCAGTCAGCCCACTTGACTAGGTGAGGATTCCTGATGGTGAAGCAGGGAAATTATTGATGTTATGTGGACTTCACCATTTAACTTAATTTACAATTGAGGCCATTAGTTGACCTGAGAGATTAAAATATGAAGGAGATAATATTCTGGGTGTCAGTCGCTTTGTAGATAAAGAACTGGAAAGTCATTCAAGACCAAGAAGGAAGGATTTCATTTCCATGGAGCTTATGGAATTCCAGGATAGAGTTTGATATTTTAAGATCATACCTCTGTATCCAAAGCATCAAGAACAGATGATGTGTTTGTGGATCTTGGTGATTTGTCTGAAATCTCCAGCTTCCCCACTTCACTGGGGTTTACTGTCATCCCTCTTCTAGAAGGTAGTGGTCATCACCGACAGTAAAGCTTACAGCAAATGAAAACTCAAAATGTAGTCTACTCAGTGGTATATTACCGAAATGTGTTCTTAGACTGTGAAAATTAAAGTTTTTAATGGATTGGCTTTACTCGAGGTGTAGAAAACTCAAGATGCTTTATTGAGAACAGTAGACAGTGTTTTGCAGCCACATCCTATCTGCCTTGAAAAAAATGGTGTCACTTTTATTTTTTTTACTAGAGACTGGGTCTCACTCTGTCCCCAGGCTGGAGACCTGAACTCCTGGGTTCAAGCGATTCTTCCTCCTCATCCTCTTGGCTAGCCGGATCTATAGGCACACACCACCACACCTGGCTAATTTTTTTTTCTTTTTCTTTTTTTCTTAAAGACAGGGGTGTTGCCTAGGCTGTTCTTTAACTCCTGGCCACAAGCAGTCCTCCCACCTCAGCCTCCCAAAGTGCTGGGATTACAAGCGTGAACCACAGCTCCCTGCCTTGGTGTCACTTCTCAATGCCTGAAGTGTAACCCCATCTGTTAGGAAAATCAGGATGGGAGAGGGCAGGGTGTGGAAACAATTGTGATAATCAGAACATGGAAGTCTTTCTGCTGGTGACTTTGCAGAGAAACTTAAAGGGTTCTTTTTTCTTTTCTTTTCTTTTTTTTTTTTTTTTTTTTTTTTGAGTCTTTCTTTGTCACCCAGGCTGGAGTGCAGTGGCAGGATCTCGGCCCACTGCTGCCTCCACCACCCAGGTTCAAGCGATTTCTCCTGCCTCAGCCTCAGTTGTTGAGTAG
The DNA here is from genome assembly GCF_000001405.40 of Homo sapiens. NCBI lineage: Eukaryota > Metazoa > Chordata > Mammalia > Primates > Hominidae > Homo > Homo sapiens. The sequence continues at coordinate 110,737,364 of NC_000012.12, read as the reverse complement.
CTGGGACTACAGGCATGTACCACCATGCCCTGCTAATTTTTGTATTTTTGGTAGAGATGGGGTTTTACCATGTTGGCCAGGCTGGTCTCAAACTCCTGACCTCAGCTGATCCACCCACCTTGGCCTCCCAAAGTGCTGGGATTACAGGCGTTAGACACCGCATCCGGCCCAAAGGATTCTTGATAACATTTTTGTGGTTTATACTTTTTGCAGAAAAGAACTCAGTCGTTTATGGGAATGCTTAATGTTGGAAGTATTTACTGTTTTTTGTTTTGGTTTGAGTCTTATTTTCCTAAATCTGTCAAATATCATGAGGCTATTGATTTCACTGAAATGAATATGATGTGGCATATTGTTAAAATTATCACCTACTTTTTAACAGGATTATTTTAAAACAGCAAAATCTTCGTTGGCTTATTTTTATACCACTTGTGCCTTTCTTAGGTTCTGAAACTTCATTAGAATTCAGCTAGGGCTTTTTTAGTATATGCTATTTCTTTAATATGTTTTTATTTAAACAATTAAGGGGCCTTTATGTGGCAAGGAAAATACTTTTTTATTCCTTATAAATAATCTCAAACTTGTCTTAAATTTCCTTCCATAGTTTCCATCTTTGCTTTGCTTTTTGCCAGCAGCTAACTTTCAAAAGTTAGTATTGCTTATGAGAAAGAGCTGGTGTTGTAAATAATCACCAATGCTATTTTATTTATTTATATTTTTTGAGACAGGATCTCACTCTGTGGCCCAGGCTGGAGTGCAGTGGCATGATCTCGGCTCAATGCAGCATCTGTCTCCCGGGCTCAAGTGATCCTCCCATCTTAGCCTCCCGAGTAGCTGGGACTACAGGCGCACGCCACCATGTCCAGCTATATTTTGTATTTTTGGTAGAGACTCAATTTCACCATGTTGCCCAGGCTAGTCTCTAACTCCTGAGCTCAAGTGATCCTCCCACCTCGGCCTCCCAAAGTGCTGGGATTATAGGCCCAAGCCACCACATCTGGCTGCTATTCTTTTATAATTCAAATTTTTACCAGTTTGTTTTCAATAAAAATGTGTGGAAGTTTTTATTATTGCTCGTGTCAGTGATTTGCCAGAAAAATAGATCAGATACATTTCTACAGAGCAACCTTCGCTTTTAACAGTAATAATACGTTTTCCTGAATCTCCCTTTCTAGCCAGATAAAGAAATATTAATACTTCTACTGAAAAGTCACATCCTTAGGTCTAAGTTGGTGTTGCTTTTTTGTTGTTGTTTGTTTGTTTGTTTTGAGACGGAGTTTGTTTGTTTGTTTGTTTGTTTTGAGACAAAGTCTTATTCTTGTTCCCCAGGCTGGAGTGTGATGATGCGATCTGGGCTCACTGCAACCTGCCCCGTGGGTTCCAGCGATTCTCCTGCCTCAGCCTCCCGAGTAGCTGGGATTACAGGTGCCTGCCACCACGCCTGGCTAATTTTTGTATTTTTAGTAGAGACGGGGTTTCACCATGTTGGCCAGGCTGGTCTCGAACTCCTTACCTCAGGTGATCCGCCCGCTTCGGACTCCTAAAGTGCTGGGATTACTGGCATGAGCCACCGTGCCTGGCCGAGACGGAGTTTCTTTCTTGTTGCCCAGGATGGAGTGCAGTGGCACAATCTCGGCTCACTGCAACTTCCACCTCCCAGGTTCAAGTGATTCTCGTGCCTCAGCCTCCTGTGTAGCTGGGGTTACAGGCGTGCACCACCATGCCCAGCAAATTTTTGTATTTTTAGTAGAGATGGGGTTTCACCATGTTGGCCAGGCTGGTCTCGAACTCCTAACCTCAGGTCATCCACCCATCTCGGCCTCCCAAAGTGTTGGGATTACAGGCATGAGCCACCGTGCCCAACCTTCTCCTTTGGTTTTGAAGTTCAATGTAGAACAGATTCTTAATTGGGAATTAAGAATGCACCACTAGATGTAGCATCGCGGCCTCGTGTCCTTAAGCTCTGTGACCTTGGACTAAGTCACTGTAAAATGGGAGATGACAGTGCCTGACTTCCTAGGATCGTTGACAGGATTGAATGGCAATATAAAGCCCTTAGTACAGTGCCTAGTGGATAAGTGCTCAGTAAATGTTAACTACAACGAGTAAATAATTCTGTTTGATGGACATTGAAAATAGTGAAGTGGGCCAGGCACGGTGGCGCACGCCTATAATCCCAGCTACTTGGGAGGCTGAGGCAGGAGAATCACTTGAACCCAGGAGGTGGAGGTTGCAGTGAGCCACGATCGCATCACTGCACTCCAGCCTGGCAACAGAGTGAGACTCCATCTCAAAAAAAGAAAGAAAAAAATAGTGAAGTGAATTTGTATGCTTTTGGCTGATATGGCAACTTTTTTTTTTTTTTTTTTTTTCTTGAGATGGAGTCTCACTCTGTCGCCCAGGCTGGAGTGCAGTTGCACGATCTCAGCTCACTGCAACCTCCACCTCCCGGGTTCAAGCGATTCTTCTGCCTCAGCCTCCGCAGTAACCAGCCACCACGCCCAGCCTGATATGACAACTTTTAAGAACTCTCCAGTGTTCACTTGGACTGCCAAGCCCCATTTGAAATCTCTGTTAGACAATTCAACGTGAAATTTAAGAGTAATTCTAGATTTTCATACTTTGAAAAATACTCCAGTAAAGCCTGGTAAGCAAGTGGCCCTATTGTTTTATAATTTTATAGTGCAGAAACAGGCTTTTTGCTCATCAAAAGTATATAGTCTGGGCTGGGCACGGTGGCTCACACCTGTAATCCTGGCACTTTGGGCGCCGAGGCAGTGGATCACCTGAGGTCGGGAGTTCGAGACCAGCCTGACCAATATGGAGAAACCCCATCTGTACTAAAAGTATAAAATTAGCTGGATGTGGTGGCGCATGCCTGTAATCCCAGGTACTCGGGAGGCTGAGGCAGGATAATTGCTTGAACCCGGGAGACGGAGGTTGCAGTGAGCCGAGATCGTGCCATTGCACTCCAGCCTGGGCAACAAGAGTGAAACTCCGTCTCTAAATAAATAAATATATAGTCTGGAATATATGTTTAATTCTAATGCCACCAGTCAACACTACTTAAAGACTTATCCAGATTTCAGTCATGCAACAAATTTTGAGCACCTGCTGTGTGCTGGCTATGGCTGGTGTACACTACAGAGCAGGACTGCTGCTGTGGGTTTACATTCTACCAGTGGGTCCAGATGAGCCGGCAGAAGCAAACTGGCAAGTATAAAACAAATACAAGCATGGTTGAGGGGGTGTGGTGGGTAGTGACCTGATGTTGAGAGAGCCTTTCAAAAAGCATGCAGCAAGCTTGTGAGGGGAGAGGAGATGGATGAGAGAAGCTTTTCTCCAGGGTGAAGTGTGGTATCTGAGCAGAGGCCTGAAGTCTGAGCAGTTGTATGATAACTGATGGAAGATGGTTTTGGCAGTTTCTATCTTTATATAACTTTTTTCTTTCTGCTAATTTTAGGGAATTTAAGAAGCTTTCAGACCATGTTTGTTGATGTTTTTCATAAGCACCATTCTTTAAATACAAATCTTTATTTTCTCTGGAAAAGCTGCATCTAATCTTAATATTAAGAGTAATTTTTAAGGCCAGGTGCAGTGGCTCATGCCTGTAATCCCGGCACTTGGGGGGCCAGAGCAAGAGGATCACTTGAGCCTGGAAGGTTGAGGCTGCAGTAAGCCATGATCATGCCACTGCACTCCAGCCTGGGCACCAGGCTTCTTCAAAAAAGAAGAATTTTTAAATTGTTGTTAGTATTGCTTTTGCTTTTTACTGATCTCTGAATGTCCCCACCCAGAGGACAAACAGAAACAGAATAAAGGAGTTAAAACAAATATAAACTATGTTCAAAGGTGACAGTGGAGAGCGTCCAAAGCCAAAAAAAAAAATTGTTAGCAACATTGATTTCATCTGATGGCATTGACTAACTGCAATAGCATTCATAAAACAAAGCTTGCCATTATATGGTATGAGCTATTTATCGCAGAAATACTCTCCTAGAAGACTTAGAGTCAGCTATTCATTCATAAGTGTGGGACTCTGCTGAAAAAAATTCACGTTGAAACCAGAAGCTTCTAGGATTTCCTTCCTAGCCAAAAATAAAGCTTCCTGCTGGGCAGTCTGCCCAAGTTTTTGGTTAACTTATGGTGAAATCACTAATGATTGGCATTTTCTGGCCAATGAAGTGGGGATCCCATCTTTCACCGGGAGTATTTCCTGAGTTCTAACTCTGTATGTGTGTCTAGAGAGAAAAAAAATTACTTACGAAAAAAACATTTTTGTTGCTCAGTTGCTGTTTTATTAAATATGCATCTGTTTCATATCTTTCCTCGAAGACTATTATTACTATGCTTTTATTGCTTCTTGTTGTATAATATTTTTATCAGAACGAGACTTAGTTACATATTTTGGGGTCCAAAAGTGAACTTTATAACTGTAAAATTAAGGTACATTTAGCAGTTCCGTGCTACTTTATCTGTATCTAATGACTATCCAGTCTGTTACAACTGGAACCAAAACAAAATTTCTTTCCCACAACTACCTACGTGCTGACAAGTGAGTTCTGTTGCAAAGTTTGTACTTTGATAGAAGAACCCTAAGTGCTCTGGTGGTGTGGATGCCCCATGCTGTGCAATGATTTCTTTCTCCCATTATTATCTTATCTGTTCAAATTATTAGGGAACGTGCTTTCTTACAGTATAGCACATGACTGACATCCTTTGCCCTATATAGACATGAGCATAAACACAAATGCAGGCCCAGAAAATGCATGGCAAAATAAGTACAATGAACCAACATTTTCTTAATGAAATGAAAACAACACTAACATTTTTTCATAGGTAAATTAAATCAGAGATCCTCAGGAGGAGATACCCATGGTCCTCTGGAAAACACTGATGGGGGAGGGTTCTGAGTATTTCCAATCCTGTTTCTTTTCTTTTCTTTTCTTTCCTTTTCTTTTTTTTTTTTGAGACGGAGTCTCGCTGTGTTGCCAGGCTGGAGTGCAGTGGCGCGATCTTGGCTCACTGCAACCTCCGCCTCCCGGGTGCAGGCGATTCTCCTGAGTAGCTGGGATTACAGGTGCACGCCATGTTGGCGAGGATGGTCTGGATCTCTTGACCTCATCATGATCTGCCCGCCTCACCCTCCCAAAGTGCTGGGATTACAAGCGTGAGCCATTGCATCTGGCCTGCAGTCCTGTTTCTAACAGCATTCGCACAGACAGGATGGCTCCTTTTTTGGAATACTATAAAAGAAGTCTTACTTGGTATCGAAGATGCAATTAAGTCTTGTCTAAGATTTTAAGATTCTAATTAGACATTAAAACCATGTTTATTATAAGTGTCCTGAAAATGAAGCCACTCAGAAAGCTAGTTAAACCATGTTTTTGCCCCTTTATCTAAATCTCGTATTGTATTTTGTATTTTGGCTTCATTGGACTAATTGCGATTTTTCTCTTGCAGTGAGAGGGTCCAAGCCTGGTAAGAATGTCCAGCTTCAGGAGAATGAAATCAGAGGACTGTGCTTAAAGTCTCGTGAAATCTTTCTCAGTCAGCCTATCCTACTAGAACTTGAAGCACCACTCAAAATATGTGGTAAGTTTGGGGCACACAGGTTATCTTTTGTTACATGATTGATTAACTGAGTCAAGGATATGTTGATGACCTTGTATTAGCTAGCAGAATGATTATCCTGTTTGCGAATAGCTTGGAACTACTTAAAAGTAAGTTAAATAGTAGCTTTAGAATAAATACCTCTAATGGACTTAGTTTACTTAGATGTACTTCAGATTTTTAAAAAAAATATTTTGCTGAAGGAATAAACATTGCAAAAGAAAAAAATGAAACTAAGAATGGAGAGCTGAGGAAAGGTCTGAACTACATGGATGTATAGGAATATGTTTAAGTTTAAAGCAACACTGGTTATAGCTAAAAATAGAACTTCCTTGATACTGATTTTGTGGTTCTGTTTTCTGCATAATAGAAGCAAATAATCTGTGTTTTAACTCAATGTAAAACCAAACTTTATTCGTTTGAGTAATATATTCTTATAGCATATTTGCATTGATAAAACTTTGTGTTCATGTTTTTAAAAGTAAAATGTTCTTTGGCATTATCTAGCAGGGAGAAATTGAAAGCTAAATGCATTGATGGGTGGGGGGTGGGGGTGGTGTGTATGTGTGTATGTGCTTTTGTTCAGATGGGGCCAAGACTCACTAGAAGTGCAGCAGTTCTGCTGACACAGTACCCAGAGACTGAGCTGTCAGAGATCTGATATTGATCAGTCAGCCTGAAAGGGATACCATGTTACTTGGCAAGAATGCATGCTTGGACATAATAACCCTTTCCACAGAATAAATTCTTAATAGTTGAATTTTATGTGAGGTTCTGGACATACACATATACTTAAAATTTTTGTTAAGCTCAGTTGAACTAAATATGATATAAGATTGGAAATTACTTAGTGTTGGCTGCCCAGTTAAACTCTCATTACTAGAGGTCAATGCCATTGTACAATGAATATTTAAAGAATGTCTTTCCAAAGCTTTGTTAGTGGATTGAGCTTTAAGTATGGGAACACTGTGTAACAAAATTCTTGCTTCCAGGTGACATCCATGGACAATACTATGATTTGCTGCGACTTTTTGAGTACGGTGGTTTCCCACCAGAAAGCAACTACCTGTTTCTTGGGGACTATGTGGACAGGGGAAAGCAGTCATTGGAGACGATCTGCCTCTTACTGGCCTACAAAATAAAATATCCTGAGAATTTTTTTCTTCTCAGAGGGAACCATGAATGTGCCAGCATCAACAGAATTTATGGATTTTATGATGAATGTAAGTACTTTTCTATATCTAAGGAAGAGTTATTGAAATTAAGATATTTATCATAAACAATTATCACATACTTCTGTTAGGAATTGTGAGAGTTTAGATGCAGTGGTATCATCTCTCATGTTTTCTATTTCATCAACTTGTTTTTAGCTTAGCTTTTTTAGGGGGGTGGGGGAACGGAGTCTCACTCTGTTGCCCAGGCTGGAGTGCAGTAGCACCATCTTACCTCATTGCAACCTCTGCCTCCCAGGCTCAAGCAATCCTCCTGCCTCAGCCTCCCAGGTAGCTAGGACTGCAGACATGCATCACCACGCTTGGCTAATTTGTGTATTTTTTTGAAGAGATGGGGTTTCACCTTGTTGCCCAAGCTGATCTGAAACTCCTGGCTCAAGGAATCTGCCCGCCTAGGCCACTCAAAGTACTGGGATTACTGGCGTGAGCCATGATGCCCAGCCAGTTTTTTCTCTCTTGGGTAGAAAAATAACACTGCCGCTGTAATAAAATAAGGTCTTGGATTCTTTTATGATGTGATGATCAGATTAGGAAGTAATGATCATGGTAATGGTTGCTTTAAGATTTAAATTGTTGTATTCACAGATAACTTAATTCTTAGTAGAAATCTGAGAACCATTCCAAATAGTTTTTTTAAGCAACTTTATTATGTAATTTCATTCCATAAAATTATTCTGTTAAAAGTGTACAATTCAGCGATTTGTAGTAAATTTATAGAGTTATGCGACCATCACCATAGTCCCCAGGCAACCACTAATCTACTTTTTGTCTTTTCTAGAGAATATTGCATGCAAATGGAATCTTGCAATACGTAAATAATTAGTTTTTGAAATTATTATAGTTTTTCTCCTTCTGGCATATCCACACCCAGGAAGAATGGCAATAACTTTCCTAAAACTAAAATGTGCTGAACAAAGATTATTTTTACAGTATTTTACACATTTTGTGACCCATTTTGGATTGTTTAATTAAAGGTATACTTCGATTTGACTATTGACAAAACACAGTTCTTAAAGCTTTGAAAATAGGCTGGGCACAGTGGCTCACGCCTGTAATCCCAGCACTTTGGGAGGCCACAGCGGGTGGATCACAAGGTCAAGAGATCAAGACCGTCCTGGCCAACATGAGGAAACCTCATCTCTACTAAAAATACAAAAATTAGCCAGGCGTGGTGGCAGATGCCTGTAGTCCCAGCTACTCAGGAGGCTCAGGCAGGAGAATCACTTGAACCCAGGAGTCGGAGGTTGCAGTGAGCCAAAATCACACCACAGTAGTCCAGCCTGGGTGGCAGAGTGAGACTCCGTCTCAAAAAAAAAAAAAAAAAAAAGCTTTGAAAATATCAGTTCAGTAAAGGGTTTCAAGTCAGAAAAGGTTTTGAATCTTTACCTTCACCTTCCTTTTGTGCTCATCATTGCTGCCAGGACGGGTTTCAGGTTTGGAGTGAAGAGGTGGTTAAGGAACTTCAGGTACTTGGCATTTGCTAATATGATTATAGGGATATCAGCAAAGGGTTGTCCCTGTGGCCCTCCCCTAGACCACATCGTAACCTAGAGTCTCCAGATGCAGTGTTTTTCCATCTCAATTCACATAGATATGTTGAGCTAGCACATTTGTTAGAAGTGCATCCTAGAAAGATTATATTCACAAACTGAGCCCTTCTACTACCACCCTTTCCCACAACTGGATGTTTGCTTGGTCTGTGACCTTGAGATCCAGCTGATAAGATGGGGTGGCAGGAATCATCAGGGACAAAAATTCTATGGGTTCTGGACTGACTGATAGCATTGAACTTGTACATGAAAGGTATTCAATATTAACAGTGATTCTGTGTCAGAGAAGTACCAGTAAGCCAGTTACTACTCCTTAGGTAGTGAAATGCAAGGCAGGTGTGATGGGTTTTTTTTGTTTGTTTTTGAGACAGAGCCTTAGGCTGGAGTGCAGAGGTGGGATCATAGCTTACTACCACCTGTAATTTCTGGGTTTAAGCAATCCTTTCACCTCAGCCTCCCTAAGTGCTGGGATTACAGTCATGAGCCACCACACCCAGCCAACACTGTGTTTTGGATACTTATTCCAAGTGTTACTCTTGAGTTTTTTGTTTTTTGTTTTTTTTTTTTTTTTTGAGACGGAGTCTCGCTCTGTCGCCCAGGCTGGAGTGCAGGGCGCGATCTCGCCTCACTGCAAGCTCCGCCTCCTGGGTTCACGCCATTCTCCTGCCTCAGCCTCCCGAGTAGCTGGGACTACAGGCGCCCGCCACTACGCCCGGCTAATTTTTTGTATTTTTAGTAGAGGCGGGGTTTCACTGTGTTAGCCAGGATGGTCTCGATCTCCTGACCTCATGATCCGCCCGCCTCTGCTTCCCAAAGTGCTGGGATTACAGGCGTGAGCCACCGTGCCTGGCCTGCTCTTGAGTTAAAGGATTCCTTTTACATAGCTGTTAGCCCAGCAAATACTTTTCATGTTTGCACTGATGAATTCAAATCCAGTTGACCTCATTTTTGTGACGTGTATCCTAATGTAATGATACTGGCTGCATCAGTTTCGGTTTCTACTTAATGCAGAGGCCTTTAAAAAATGACTTAGAAGATCAGTGTTGGTTGGTATCAGTTTCGACTCCTGTTTGGTCATCAACACAATTTGTAGATCTTATGCTCAAGCTTCCTCTCTCTCATCAGGCAGATATAATTTGCCATCCAGTCTACTTGTGGGCATGAAAGTGCCCTTGACATAGGTGGCTTTTGGTTGAAGGCTTGCAGACATTTAATATATATATAAAATACTTAACTAATTTTATTAAAATGAAAAGTTGTATTCAAATGTTGATTTTCATGGGACAATTTAAAAACCACTGCCTGTTTTCCAGGTACATAAGTACTTTATACTACCATTTCTTTTTTTTTTTTTTTTAACTTTGTAAATGTGATGGAAAGGCTGAGGTATATGTTGTTGGGTAAAACATGAGTGTTTGTTGATCTGTTTCTGCTGCCGTAGCTGTCTGATGTACAGTAATGCGAAACCGCATTACAGGTTATGGCTCAGAATCTTAGGATTTGGAAGCTAGGCGATTACCCTGGCTAAACCTTTCAGGAGCCAGATGTTCCTAGTGGTCTGAGGTAGCCTTAGGGAGGAAATGAAGAGAGAATAGAAAGAGGCAGGCCCACGCTTAAAGTGCTGAGAGGGAAAAGGAGGAAACAAACTGATTTTTGATGGAGAAGCCAGCAGGAATCAGCAGGAGAAGCTGGAGTATGTGGCATAACTAAAGAATCAAAGCCGGGGCGTGGTAGCTCACGCCTGTAATCCCAGCACTTTGGGAGGCCAAGGTGGGTGGATCACTTGAGGTCAGGAGTTCAACCTGATCACAAGAGGTCAGGAGGTCTGACCAACATGGGGAAAACCCATCTCTATTAAAAATACAAAAATTAGCTGTGGTGGTGCACACCTGTAGTCGCGGACACTCAGGAGATTGAGGCAGGAAAATCACTGGAACCTGGGAGACCATGGTTGCAGTGAGCCAAGATTGCGTCGCTTCATTCCCCCTAGGTGATGCAGTGAGACCCCACCTCAAAAAAAGTATCCAGAAGTGAAGCTGACCTTGGGGAAAGAGGAAGTCACTGTCACTGGGGAGCTAAGACAGCAGCTCTGTTTTTATAATACAGGTTAAGTATTCCTTACCGGGAATGCTTGGCACTAGAAGTGTTGCAGGTTTTTTGTTTTTGTTTTTAATTTTGGAATATTTGTGTTATAATTACTGGTTAAACATCCCTAATCCAAAAATCTGAAATCCAGAATGCTCCAGTGAGCATTTCCTTTGAGCATCATGTGAGTGCTCAAAAAGTTCCAAATTTTGGAGCATCTTGGATTAAGGATACTCATCCTGTGGTGGTAGTAGTAGTAGTATTGCTGTTGGAAATGGGAGTTGGTGGTTTTTGGAGATTGCCCTTCAGCCTTTCGTAAGAAGGAGTTTGCTTTTTTTTGAGACGGAGTTTCACTCTTGTTGCCCATGCTGGAGTGCAATGGTGCGATCTTGGCTTACTGCAACCTCTGCCTCCCAGGTTCAAGCAATTTTCCTTCCTCAGCCTGGCGGGAGAAGTTTGTTAAACTTTCCGAACCCCCTAGTGAAGGACCTCTAAAGAAATATGCAACAGGGTGAACCATAGTCAGTGTTAGACCCAGTCATTGAGAAACCAGAAATTATTAGGAGAAAAGATAACACTCCTCTGCAGAGAGAAGGCAAACATTTGTTGAATTTACATTTCATTTCAAGCCCTGTGGTAAACTCCCTAAGCTGCTTGATTTGCATTACAGGGTGGGAGGTGTGGTTCAGGTCAGTTGCTTGGGCTGGCTCTAACTCTCAAAGGAGAGGTATAGGTTTAAACCTTTAGATGTCCCTGTATTCCCCAGGAAAAGAGACTAAGGACAAACTCTTGGTTTGTTTTGTTTGTTTTGTTTTGTTTTTTGAGACGGAGTTTCGCTCTTGTTGCCCAAGCCGGAGTGCAATGGCACAATCAAGGCTCACCGCAACCTCCGCCTCCCAGGTTCAAGTGACTCTTCTGCCTTAGCCTCCCAAGTAGCTGGGATTACAGGCATGCGCCACCACGCCCAGCTAATTTTTATATTTTTAGTAGAGACGGGATTTCTTCATGTTGGTCAGGCTGGTCTCAAACTCCCAACCTCAGATGGTCTGCCCGCCTCGGCCTCCCAAAGTGCTGGGATTACAGGTGTGAGCCACCGCGCCTGGCCAAACTCCTGGTTTTTAAAGATTGTGCTTAGTATAGTAAGTACAGGAAACAAAGGCATCTGGACAATTGGACAATCCTCAACCAATCCAGAGAAATTTGTTCTTGCAAGGTATGTGACTAGGTTTTAAACTCAGAACATCAGTTTCCTGTAGAAACAGTGCATAGAGGCATATTTCTGTCAGAACTGCACTCTGACTCCAGAATGTGTGGATGCCTGTGCTGTTGAGGGAACATGACCATCCTGTGACATCAGGCCTGTGGGAGCATGTGGAGTCTGTGCAGTGTTGGAAACAAATGCCCTGTAGTGCCTGTGAGAGGCAGCCACTGCCGTGTGATCATTGTGCCTCCTGCTAGAGTACTGAGGGCTGGGGATCCTCTGGTGTCAGTAGGTTATTGAGGGGCATATATGGGGGATGGGTGCTAACTCTCAGGTTTCCTCAGAAGGAAGGTCATAACGCCACATGTGTAAGTTCGTAATTGAATTCAGAAGTAGGGGACTAGCTGCGGTGAGATTGGACAGAGCAGACAATTTCAAACAGAATTGATGCTCCCAGATAATTCCTGGGATTTGATGGCAGTCCTTAATCATTATCAAATCTGGAATTCTGGTTTCATGCTTCTGTGGAATTTAAAAAGATTTCATGTGAAAATGTAAGTCATTGCTTTTAGATCAGATATGTGTCTCTCCTAAACCCCTTCCCTCTAGGAGAGTCTTTCTTTAAAGAGATGGGGTCTCACTATGTTGCCCAAGATGGTCTTGAACTCCTGGGCTCAAGCCATCCTCCTACCTCAGCCTCCCGAAGTGCTGGGATTACAGGTCTGACCCACCACGCCCAGCTCTTATTTTAAAAGAGCCTTAAAATAAGATGGTTTTATTAAGATTCTTAATAAAAACATAGTTTCATTTGCTTAAAAGGCACCCAGAATCTTGCTTTGGGGGAAGTTAATCCTGAGAGAATGAGCCTACGGAACAGTAATACTCTCTTTTTAATGTAATACTCTCTTTTTAATCACAGGTAAAAGAAGATACAACATTAAACTATGGAAAACTTTCACAGACTGTTTTAACTGTTTACCGATAGCAGCCATCGTGGATGAGAAGATATTCTGCTGTCATGGAGGTAGGTGGGCTGATTTTTGTTCCAAATAGGTTTTGATCCCTTCCAAAGGGTGAACACTTTAACATTTGTGAGTTATCATTGGGATGACTTTCTCTGACAGAACACTCTCCTTTGTTGATGTGTTGCATTGCACTTTCACTCTGATACAGCCAGGATCATTTGGATAAAAATCTTAAGGAATTGATTTATTACAGGGAATTCTAGACTCTGTAAGCTAGGTTTGAAAATAGAGCAGAAAATTTTTATTTTTATTTTATTTTTTGTAAGGATGAGTTCTCACCACGTTGCCCAGTCTGGTCACAAATTCCTGGGCTCAAGCAGTCCTCCTGCCTCGGACTTCCAAAGTGCTGGGTTACAGGTGTAAGCCACTGTGCCCGGCTTAGAAAAGTTTTTGGTTTTTTTTGTTTTTGTTTTTGTTTTTTGAGACAGAGTCTCGCTCTCTCACCCAGGCTGGAGCGCAGTGGCACCATCTCGGCTCACTGCAAGCTCTGCCTCCCAGGTTCACGCCATTCTCCTGCCTCAGCCTCCTGAGTAGCTGGGACTGCAGCCACCCGCCACCACGCTTGGCTAATTTTTTGTATTTTTAGTAGAGACGGGGCTTCACCGTGTTAGCCAGGATGGTCTCAATCTCCTGACCTCGTGATCTGCCCGCCTCGGCCTCCCAAAGTGCTGGGATTACAGACTTGAGCCACCACGCCCGGCAGAAGAGTGTTTTTAACTATAAAATGAACAATGTGTAATTTGTTGTGCCAGAGATCCTCTAGAACACTCAAGATGTGAGTAGATTTTCCCTTGATTGTTTTTTATCCTCTCAGAACTTTCTCTGACTTGGATTTTAAAAGTTATTTTGGCCAGGCATAGTGGCTCGCATCTGTAATTCCAGCACTTTGGAGAGGCCAAGCCAGGAGGATTGCTTGATGCCATGAATATGAGAACAGCCTATAACATATCGAGACCCCTGTCATTAGAAAAAGTTGTAAAAGTTAGCCAGGTGTAATGGTGCACACCTGTAGCCGTAGCTATTTGGGAGGCTGAGGCGGGAGGATCGCTTGAACCCAGGGGTTTAAGGCTGCAGTGAGCTATGATCGCACCACTGCACTCCAGCCTAGGCAACAGAGCAAGACCCTATCTCTGAAAATATATACATATATATGTTATAAGCTGTTTTGCTTTGCTCAGTGGTTGTGCTTTCTATAATGTAATTAAAATAGTAATTGCAAAGAGAATTTCTTTTCCTGTATGGTCTGAAATTAATCAGCCATCAAAAAGCCTGCATAATGTCTTTTATCTCTGTGCTTCTGTACTTAGGTTTTGGTAGAGTTGGATACATGGTTTTTAACTCTTACAATATGCATCCCATATTGTAACTCGATACAATAAGCTCTTGTAGATTTTAGCCATCAAAAAGCCTGCATAATGTCTTTTATCTCTGTGCTTCTGTACTTAGGTTTTGGTAGAGTTGGATACATGGTTTTTAACTCTTACAATATGCATCCCATATTGTAACTCGATACAATAAGCTCTTGTAGATTTTAATGGTCTGTGAACAGTGCAGGTTTCCTAGAGAACTACCTCACACTGAGCATCCTTATCTTCTCAGCTCAGTCATTATAAGCCATCAATCATAACATCGCTCATTATTGTCATCAACTGGGGGAAGCCCATAGAAGAGTTTTTTAAATCACTGGATTTTATTTTACAGTGTTCTGTATAATATAATTGTTTCCATGTACTGTTTAAACCTACTGCACCCCATGCATTACTGCATGTAATTCTAGTGTGTATCCAGTTGTCCTTTTTCTGTGTTTTTTTCTTTTAACCAAAAGTAAATAAAATATAATCATAGATTTCAGTTTTTATGTCAGGATTATTGAATTTCTCTGTAGACAAATGGAACTTTTGAAGGGGTAGTATCCTTTTAAAAGTTCTGCTTTCTTCATTTTTTTTTTTTCCTCATTGAATAGGTTTATCACCAGATCTTCAATCTATGGAGCAGATTCGGCGAATTATGCGACCAACTGATGTACCAGATCAAGGTCTTCTTTGTGATCTTTTGTGGTCTGACCCCGATAAAGATGTCTTAGGCTGGGGTGAAAATGACAGAGGAGTGTCCTTCACATTTGGTGCAGAAGTGGTTGCAAAATTTCTCCATAAGCATGATTTGGATCTTATATGTAGAGCCCATCAGGTATTGATTTTGAATTTTACATGTACACTTAAGAGCATGTGTGTGAGCACAGATTCTCCTTGTTGATTTTGGTGGGTAGGTATTGCTTATTTATACAAAGTGTTTCTGGAACACAAGATATCAGGCTCAATGGGAAACTGAAACATGGTTTTACTCACCTAATATTTGCACCTATTTATATTGAAAAAATTTTCTCTTCAAGGTGGTTGAAGATGGATATGAATTTTTTGCAAAGAGGCAGTTGGTCACTCTGTTTTCTGCGCCCAATTATTGCGGAGAGTTTGACAATGCAGGTGCCATGATGAGTGTGGATGAAACACTAATGTGTTCTTTTCAGGTAGAGCATGCTTTCAACATGATTTCCTTTTAATATGTTTACACTTTGCTGATTGAAAAATATAATTGCTACTTTTTGCCTAGTGTTCACTTATGCTGAGTAGGCTAAGTTTTTATTTTCCCTTAACCAGTGTGTATTATAGTTGAATAATGTGTGGATCCCTTGTAAAAGAAAAAATTAATTATGGCACCTTTTCCCAGTGTTGAATTATAAATTTTTGCATTGCATATTGGCTCCTTAATGCTTATGGCTCTTTTACTGTAAATCTAAAACCTTAATGACAATGTAATGTTCAGCTAAAATTAAATCACCACTTGAATGTGAAAAGTACTGAGTGCCTTGTGCTATGTGTTTACTTAGTTCTGCCCTCTAGTCTAACTTCCACAAAACTTCTGTTAATGTACCATGACATCATTTGGCCTTCAGTTGGCACAAAAGCATTATTTAGAATCTGCCTCAGCCTTTTTCTCATTTGCTTATTATGATACTTGTACAACTTCAAGCCAGCCTAGTCATAAACATAAATACAGCCACCAAATCATGTGGCACTCATCAGTTAAATGAATTAAAATAGTTTTTTACCAATTATCAGAGAGAACTTGCAGCTTTCAAAATTCCAAAGATTGTGCAAGGATCCCCTACAGGTTGGAGAAACACTTTTGTAAAGAACTTTTTCCCCTGTATCAGAAGGAGTAGCTAAAGATACTACCAGGTGTAGACTTCAGAAGATTGTCATTATACTCAGAGGCAAAATAATTTGTCCAGATAATAGATTTTATCTGTTCGTCATAGCGTTAATTACCAAATGTTTACATTCAACATAGCTTGTGTTAATATGCTAGGGGGGCTTTTACAGTTGTTGGGGCAGTTGTGAACACCATCTGAACAGAAGATCTGAATGAAATTTAAGGACTCTTAAGATTTGGGGTTGAGTATATTTCCTAAATTAACTGTCTTTTGAATCTCCAGATTTTAAAGCCTGCAGAGAAAAAGAAGCCAAATGCCACGAGACCTGTAACGCCTCCAAGGGGTATGATCACAAAGCAAGCAAAGAAATAGATGTCGTTTTGACACTGCCTAGTCGGGACTTGTAACATAGAGTATATAACCTTCATTTTTAAGACTGTAATGTGTACTGGTCAGCTTGCTCAGATAGATCTGTGTTTGTGGGGGCCCTTCCTTCCATTTTTGATTTAGTGAATGGCATTTGCTGGTTATAACAGCAAATGAAAGACTCTTCACTCCAAAAAGAAAAGTGTTTTGTTTTTTAATTCTCTGTTCCTTTTGCAAACAATTTTAATGATGGTGTTAAAGCTGTACACCCCAGGACAGTTTATCCTGTCTGAGGAGTAAGTGTACAATTGATCTTTTTTAATTCAGTACAACCCATAATCATGTAAATGCTCATTTTCTTTAGGACATAAAGAGAGCCCTAGGGTGCTCTGAATCTGTACATGTTCTTGTCATAAAATGCATACTGTTGATACAAACCACTGTGAACATTTTTTATTTGAGAATTTTGTTTCAAAGGGATTGCTTTTTCCTCTCATTGTCTTGTTATGTACAAACTAGTTTTTATAGCTATCAACATTAGGAGTAACTTTCAACCTTGCCAGCATCACTGGTATGATGTATATTTAATTAAAGCACACTTTTCCCCGACCGTATACTTAAAATGACAAAGCCATTCTTTTAAATATTTGTGACTCTTTCCTAAAGCCAAAGTTTCTGTTGAATTATGTTTTGACACACCCCTAAGTACAAGGTGGTATGGTTGTATACACATGCTGCCTTCTTGGGGATTCAAAAACAGGTTTTTGATTTTGAATAGCAATTAGTGATATAGTGCTGTTTAAGCTACTAACGATAAAAGGTAATAACATTTTATACAATTTCCATATAGTCTATTCATTAAGTAATCTTTTTACAGTTGCATCAGGCCTGAACCCGTCCATTCAGAAAGCTTCAAATTATAGAAACAATACTGTTCTATACGAGTGACCGATTATGCTTTCTTTGGCCTACATTCTTTATTCTGCGGTGAAGTTGAGGCTTATAAGTTAAAACAAAGGAACTAACTTACTGTCCACCAGTTTATACAGAACTCACAGTACCTATGACTTTTTTAAACTAAGATCTGTTAAAAAAGAAATCTGTTTCAACAGATGACCGTGTACAATACCGTGTGGTGAAAATGAATTCAGACTTATTAAATGATGAACTTGTTAAATCTTCTCAGTGTCTATTTATCAGCACAATACACACAGGAGAACTGTTGATGGCATATTGAATAGATTTTCCTGAATAAATTGCTCTGGAAACCACACGGTTGCATTTTGGTTTTGCTTCTTTCAAATAGTCTGTTTTCCAAAGATGGATTATAATACAGATACTAATACTCTTTGAGTTGTAACCTGGAGACATCTATTTGTGTAATAGAGTGATGAGGTGGAACGATCCTCCTCTACCATTTGGGGAGATGGGGATTAATCTGTGTCCATAGTTTTCTTACTGTCTGGGTTCACTTGAACTTAGTGGCGAATTTGAAAGCAGCTCACTTTGTTTTCTGAGTCAGCCACCTATATTTTCATGCACAGTTCTTTGATCTCTTCCCCCTTCCCTGGTTTATATGGAACACAGTATCATGTCATATTTTGTCACAAGTATGTATCTTAATTTCTCAAAGGTACGCTAAAAATGAGTGAAGAGCATGTCATTTGAAAAGCTTTTTTTCCTGTTACAAAGTGGTCTCCCTGAGGGCGTTGGCAGAGGACCTAGCGAGGAACTCTTTGAAGGACACAGAAGAGCACAGGGCCATGGACTCCCCTCTGCTAACAAGCCCCGGTCCTGAGGCATCTGGACCCTGCCATGCTCCCATCAAAGAGGGAAGGGGGACCTCATTACCTGCCTGCTCCACATTGACAATATCCAAACTTGTGCTGTTTCACTTTTACGTAATATTCTCCCAGACTTCTTTGACTATAGGAAGAAAACAGTGAATGATAATTGTGTCAAAGGCAAATTCTGCACATCTTTATGTCCTGAATGTTAATGAATTGATACTAGGATTTCAAAATGCTATAAAGTAAAATTGGGCTGCTCTACTAGGATTATATCATTATTGGAGTGTGGTATCAGGCTCAAGTTTTTCTTAAGGAACATTTATCAAGTACTAAGGATTATATCATTATTGGAGTGTGGTATCTGGCTCAAATTTTTCTTAAGGAACATTGGTCAAGTAGAAGACAAGATTAATCTTTGGTTTTAGGACCTGAGATCATTAGGAGAGACTCAGTTTGAAATCTGTTTGACAGCAGAACTTGAGATGTGTGTGATAACCCAAGTCTTGGCCCCTCCTACCTGATTTGAGTGAGTGACCTGAATGCTGAGCCACTGTGTTCCTAGCTATGAAACGTCCATAGCAGAAGCCGTCTCACATTGTGAATCTTGAGTGAAGTTGTGTGGTGTCTTTAGAATGCTCAACTCGGTGGTATTTGCTAAATGTTTGCTTTTGGTTATCTTATCGATCCCAGTTCTTTCGTGTCTTTGCACATCTCGGTTGGCTGAGTTTGAAGTGTCACTTGCCTTTGCTTTGCTTTGCACCTGATACCAAGCCATGGATAGCTAAGTATGTCTGAGCATTTACTGCATAAGGGAACACCATCATGGATGTTTTCAGCATATGCAAAAGAAGTAACTAGGAAAGAGGAAGTTGTAATTATTAGTGTGATACTATTCTATTAAGTGTTTTGGTTTGGTTTTGTTTTTGTCAAGTATTCTGGGTCACAAGATGACAGCACCATTACAAAACCATACAGAAAGGCAGGTGCTAGGCATCCTTAGTCGCTCAATCATCTATGTAATACCCTCCCATAGAAATTGCTGATTTGGTACACAAACTAGGCCTGCCCATGTCTAGTTGCAGTGGACAGCACAGATGCTCACATATAACCCTTGTTCTTGAAGTACCTTGATTTAAGGCCAGAGTTCTCGAGTAACATACACATAAATGGGATATGGAACACAGGGACTAGGAAAAAATTACTGAATGCTGAGCCATGAAGAAGGCACATGATTTAAACTGATGGAAAGGAATATCAATCAAATTTCTCAATGTGGGTCCATGATGAGCGTTTGAAAGGGAATTCAGTTTGCTGGGAAGTGAAGATACAAGCTACCAAGTTAAGGCATCATGATACCAAAAAACACAAAGGAACCATTGCAGGGAAGTGCTGCATGAAAAATCTTAGGTTTATTTTGGCAGTTTGCAGACACCATGTGAATTGAGACACGGAGACAAGGGCCATGTAATCCAAGTATCACCTGAAATTAGTAGAAGGGACAAAGCTGAGGATCTGCATCAGAACAAAGAAGGAATGTCTTCCTCATGTTTGGGTCTATAGAAGACATTAAAGAAAACTTCCAGAAAGTGGGTTTGAGGCCGGGCATGGTGGCTCACACCTGTAATCCCAGCACTTTGGGAGGCTGAGGCAGGCGGATTACAAGGTCAGGAGATCGAGACCATCCTGGCTAACACGGTGAAACCCTGTCTCTACTAAAAAAAATAGAAAAAATTAGCCGGGCATGGTGATGGGCGCATGTAGTCCCAGTTACTCAGGAGCCTGAGGCAGGAGAATGGCGTGAACCTGGGAGGTGGAGCTTGCAGTGAGCCGAGATCACGCCACTGCACTCCAGCCTGGGCGACAGAGCGAGACTCTTAAACAAACAAAGTGGGTTTGAAGTGCTATGTCTCCATTTTCCTATCTTGAGGAAAAGACCCAAAACTCAACCTCATGTACCAGCTGGCTTGAATCTGCAGGGGTGGTTTTGATGAGTAAGAACTTTCAGTCCTGCAAATCAGATGTATGCATCAGCCCAGACTGGAAGAACATGGCACCCTCTGCCCCAGGCTTTGGTTTCCTTCTCACCCACAGAAGAGGAATAACTAGAATACTTAACGATGGGATTGTGAGGATTAGCCCACCAAAAATCTACAACTTGCCTTAGTCATAAGCATTCAGGAAACAGCCCTGGTATAAGACCAATGAATAGCCCTAAGATTTAGACCAATGGCAACACACAGGAACTTTGATTAGGAAAACTTGGGCCAGGCACAGGCAGAAGTCACTTTTCATTCATCCTTGCCAACGTGTGAGCTTCAGAAGAGTGGAAATGATGGACTATCAACACCTTCAGCCTACGACTCAAATAGAATTGAGTACTTGCATTAGTGCATCCCTGAATTAGTGGGTGGTTCATAGTTGTGTGATCACAGAGATGACTGCCATCCCATCTGATCAGCTGTAGCTCCAACGGACTTGTTGTCATCCAGATGTATTACAAGTATTCCAATAATTTCAAACACAGGTAAGTATTTCAGTTGTGAGAATTATGTCAGTTATTTGAAAGATAAATATGTTAGAGGATTAAAGCACTTCAGTTAATCATGTAAACAGTTTTGTAATCAAAAAGTTAAAACTAGGCTGGGTGCAGTGGCTCATGCCTGTAATTCCAGCGTGATTGGGAGGCCGAGGTGAGTGGATCACTTGAGGTCACGAGTATGAGACCAGCCTGGCCAACATGGTGAAATCCTGTCTCCATTGAAAATACAAAAATCAGCCAGGTGTGGTGGCACATGCCTGTAATCCCAGCTACTCGGGAGGCTGAGGCAGGAGAATCGCTTGAACCTGGGAAGCAGAGGTTGCAGTGAGCCAAGACTCTGCCACTGCACTCCAGACTGGGCAACAGAGCGAGACTCTATCTCAAAAAAAAAAAAAAGTTAAAACTAAGAAAGTTTGCAGTAATAGGGAAATAGAATTTTACCTACATAAGTTCAAGAACTTTATACTCTTGAACTAACAAAAGTTTGTAAGAATTTTAAAATATAAGGCATGCAAAATATCAGGAATGAATCAGTACGGCAAGTCTTTTAAGTGCATCTCAGAAAGCATCCTGAGGCACTGCCCAAAGCTTGAGATTGAGGGGTTGTGTAAAGGCACTGGCATCAACCAGATTTTTTAAGTCTAGGAATTGAGAAGGAAGACATAAGTCTTTACCTTGCTATTGGGATGGAACAACCAATTTGGTGGTAGGACCAGCCAAAAAGCAACTTGCCTTTCCACCAACCTCAAAGTGAGCATCTATTTAGTATTACAAACATGCAGATACCGCAGGAGCAATAAAGCGACAGGTGGTGCTAAGAAGGTAGCATACTGGCCGGGCACGGTGGCTCACGCCTGTAATCCCAGCACTTTGGGAGGCCAAGGCAGGCAGATCACCTGAGGTCAGGAGTTCAAGACCAGACTGGGCAACATGGAGAAATCCCATCTCTAATAAAAATACAAAATTAGCCTGGCATGGTGGTGACACATGCCTGTAATCCCAGCTACTCAGGAGGCTGAGGCAGGAGAATCGCTTGAACCCAGGAGGCAGAGGTTGCAGTGAGCTGAGATCGCACCATTGCACTACAGCCTGGGCAACGAGCAAAACTCCGTCTCAAAAAAGAAAAAAAGTAGCATACCAGCCCAGCATCAAACTTGGGAGAATTCTGATGATTGTAATAATTAAATGGTATCAATTAAATTTTTTTCCAGTATGGGCAACATGGTGACACCCCGTCTCTATTAAAAATATAATAATACAAAAAATTAGCCAGGCATGGTGGTGCACATTTGTGGTCCCAGCTACTTGGGAGGCTAAGGTGGGAGGATCGCTTGAGCCTGGGAGGCGGAGGTTGCAATGACCTGAGATCGCGCCACTGCACTCCAGCCTGGGCGACAGAGTGAGACCCTGTCTCAAAAAATAATTTTTGATAGAATTTCAAATTCATTCTTGTGTTCCAAACAATCAGTTTCCTAATAGCGATATTTAGCTATGACCACCAAATACTGATTTTAATACTCATTCAGCCAAAATGCATATTTGGTGCAACTCTTGAAACAATTCTAAAATGTCACTTAAAAGTGCGTATTCCTTTTTTTTTTCTAGCCACCCAATTAGCACAGTATCAAACACCATGTCTCCCAGAGAGGACCATCCCACACACCAGTTGTTCAGGGCTGGTGAACAAGAGAACAGTAAACTGGTCGTTATATTCTTGGACAGACTGGCTTGACCTTTCCCTGGCAAGTTAGGTAGGTGTGGCAGAGGGAGCGGGTGGGATAAAGGGTGTTTTTGCTGAGGTTGGCAGAAGATTTTTACCATCTGATGGGGCTTTGCTCATTCACCAGCTCCACAAGCCCCTCAAGGAGTCCTGTTCCATACCTGCTGTTAGTTTACCATAATGAAATCACTTCCCAATTTTTTTTTTTTTTTTTTTTTTTTTTTTTTGAGACAGAGTCTTGCTCTGTCGCCCAGGCTGGAGTGCAGTAGTACCATCTCGGCTCATTGCAAGCTCCACCTCCCGGGCTCAAGTGATTCTCCTGCCTCAGCCTCCCAAGTAGCTGGGATTACAGGTGCGTGCCACACACCCAGCTAATTTTTATATTTTTAGCAGAGACGGGGTTTTACTACGTTGGCCAGGCTGGTCTCAAACTCCTGACCTCAAGTGATTCGCCTGCCTCAGCCTCCCAAAGTGCTGGGATTACAGGCCTTCCCAAGTTTTGATTACTGACCTACAAACACCACATATCTTCTCTAGTGCTTGCCCTTCAGATTGAGAGGTGGAATGGACAGATCGTAGACTCACATGGTCCTCCGCTCAGGAGGCTGTCCAGCATAAGTGAAGGACCCAGATTCAGCGTGGATCACAGGGTTAGCTGGATTTTACTCACTAGCTTGGCTTAGATTGGTTTCAGATCTGCCCCATGTTCCTCTCACTGTTCTAGGGCCATTGGGTATTACTTAGGAGGGTGGACTGAGGAGAGGAGAGCAAGCAGGCAATCTTAAGATTTGCTGCAGTGCAAATTACTCATTGGGTGCACATTTTGGTTGCCATGAATGCTGTGTTTTTATACTTTTATTTTTAGAAGCCATAATCTTGCTGAGGTCAATATAATCTTGCTAGAATGAAAGTTTTTTTGTTTTCGTTTGTTTTTGAGTTGTAGTCTTGCTCTGGCACCCAGGCTGGAGTGCAGTGGCACAATCTTGGCTCACTGCAACCTCCACCTCCCAAGTTCAAACGATTCTCCCACCTCAGCCTCCAGAGTAGCTGGAACTACAGGTGCCCGCCACCACGCCGAGCTAATTTTTGTACTTTTAGTAGAGACAGGATTTCACCATGTTGGCCAGGCTGGTCTCAAACCCCTGGACCTCAGGTGATGCGCCTGCATTGGCCTCCCAAAGTGTGAGCCACTGCGCCTGGCACAAGAATGAAAGTTTTGAGAAAGTGATCTGCATTCTCCACTCCAGAAAACCAGAATTCCTCTTAAGACAATGCTGGTCGAACTTTTTTGACAGGTGGAACCCATCAAACAAAATAATATTGGAGGCCTCATGTAAAATGAATAAAATCAGAACAGCTCTGTTAAAAGCAGGGGCTGGGGGCTGCTTGTCCCCGAACAGCTTCCACCTCCAAAGATTGAAACCACGCTCTAGGAAAAATATTGGCTGCTACATACAGGCCTGTGTTTGTAGACCAGCATTAGTAAGATGTTAGTACAACTTATTAGGTAGAGCCTTCCCTGATTTTGTGATGCCTTGTCTAAGATCCAAATAGCTAAGAAGTTCAATCCAAGTATTCTCCAAGTAGAAAGTCAACACATGGCCAGGCACGGTGGCTCACGCCTGTAATCCCAACACTTTGTGAGGCCGAGGTGGGCAGATTGCCTGAGCTCGAGAGTTCAAAACCAGCCTGAGCAACACGGTGAAACTCATCTCTACTAAAATGCAAAATAATTAGCCGGGCGTGGCAGCGTGTGCCTGCAGTCCAAGCTACTCAGGAGGCTGAGGCAGGAGAATTGCTTGAACCCAGGAGGTGGTGGTTGCAGTGAGCCAAGATCATGCCACTGCTTTCCAGCCTGGACAACAGAGTGACACTACATCTCCAAAAAAAAAAGAAAGTCAACATGTAACTACCATTTTCCAAGTTATTTGCTGGTTTTCATTTCTTTTTTCTTTTTTTGAGATGGAGTTTCGTTCTTGTTGCCCAGGCTGGAATGCAATGGTGCAATCTCGGCTCACCGCAACCTCCACCTCCCAAGTTCAAGCAATTCTCCTGCTTCAGCCTCCCAAGTAGCTGGGATTATAGGCATATGCCACCACGCCTGGCTAATTTTGTATTTTTGTAGTAGAGATGGGGTTTCTCCATGTTGGCCAGGCTGGTCTCGAACTCCCTACCTCAGGTGTTCCACCCGCCTTGCCCTCACAAAGTGCTGGGATTACAGGTGTGAGCCACCACGCCCAGCCTGGTTTTCATTTCTTAGCACTGTGGTAACAGACACAGGAGATCAGAAAAGCATTTTGCAGATTTGAACAAAGCATCCTTTAGGAGACCAGGGTTTTTCATCAAGGGGATTTCAGTGCCCCCCCTTTTTTTTTTTTTTTTTTTTTTTTTTTTTTTGAGACAGTTTCTCTGTCGCCCAGGCTGGAGTGCACTAGTGCTAACTTGGCTCAGTGCAACCTCCGCTTCCCGGATTCAAGTGATTCTCCTGCCTCAGCCTCCCGAGTACCTGGAATTACAGGCACCCACCACCACACGTGGCTAATTTTTGTATTTTTAGTTGAGACGGGTTTTCACCACATTTGCCAGGCTGGTCTCGAACTCCTGACCTCAAGCCATCCACCCACCTTGGCCTCCCGAAGTGCTGAGATGACATGCATGAACCACCACGCCCGGCCTGTGTGTCTGTTTTTCAATGTGTGTGTATCTATAAGGTATATTGTCATTTTATATGTTATTTTATATAATATATATGGTCCCGTGTCACTTAACGATGGGAATACATTGTGAGAAGTATGTCATTAGGCAATTTCATCATTGTGCAAATCACCATAGTGTCCCCACACAAACCTAGATGACATAAGCTATACGGTAGAGCCTATTGCTCCCAGGCTACAAACGTGCACTGGACCCTGTAGGCAATTATAACACAATGGTAAGTATTTCTGTATCTAAACATATATAAATATATAGAAAAGCTACAGTAAAAATATGGTATTATAGTCTTATGGGACCACCATCACATATGCGGTCCATCATTGACTGAAAACTCGTTAGGTGGCATGTGACTGTATTTTTAATGGTTTGTTGTTGTTTTGTTGTTGTTGTTTGAGACAGAGTTTCATTCTTGTTGCCCAGGCTGGAGTGCAATGGTGCGATCTCGGCTCACTGCAACCTCCGTCCCGCAAGTTCAAGCAATTCTCCTGCCTCGGCCTCCCAAGTAGCTGGGACCACATGCATGCACCACCACGCCCAGCTAACTTTGTATTTTTAGTACAGATGGGGTTTTTTCCATGTTGGTCAGGCTGGTCTCGAACTCCCAACCTCAGGTGATCCTCCTGCCTCGGCCTCCCAAAGTGTTGGGATTACAGGCATGAGCCACTGCCCCTGGCTAGTGTATTTTTTAAATGAAATGTCTTAATACAAAAGAATACATAAAACACCCACATACCCATCGCCTGGGTTAAGAAGTAGAATATTACCAATAACTTAAGAGCCCGTGTGCGTACCTCCCCAGTTACATACTTACCCATCTCCCTCGAGAGTTAACCATGATCTTGAATTTGAAAGTAATCACTTCCTTACTTTTCTTCATTGTGTTTGTATCCCTAAGCAATATACTGTTAAATTTTGCCAATTTATTTATTTTTATAGAAACAGGGTCATGCTATATTGCTTAGGCTGGTCTGGAACTCCTGGCCTCAAGAGATCTTCCTGCCTCGGGCTCCCAAGTAGCTGGGATTATAGGTGCAAACCACAGTACCAGGCAATTTTTGAGCTTCATAGAAAGAGAAATATATGTATTTCTGTAAACAGTTTCCTTCAGCATTTAAAAATTTTTATTTATTTATTTATTTTATTTTGAGACAGAGTCTCACTCTGTCGCCCAGGCTGGAATGCAGTGGCACCATCACTCACTGCAACCTCCGCCTCCTGAGTTCAAGCAATTCTCCTGCCTCAGCCTCCTGAGCAGCTGGGATTACAGGCACATGCCACCATGCCTGGCTAATTTTTGTATTTTTAGTAGAGACGGGGTTTCACCATGTTGTCCAGGCTGGTCTCGAACTCCTGGCTTCAAGTGATCCACCTGCCTCAGCCTCCTTTTAAAGTGCTGGGATTACAGACGTCAGCCATCCTGCCCGGCCTAAACATTTTTATTTATATTTTAGAGAGACAGGGTCTTGCCTTGTTGCCGAGGCTGGTCTTGAATTTCTGAGCTCAAGTGATCCGCCCACCTTAGCCTCCCAAAGTGCTAGGATTACAGGCATGAGCCACCTCACCCAGCAAGCATTTTTTTTTTTTTTTTTTTTTTTTTTTTGAGACAGAGTCTCATTCTGTCACCCAGGCTGGAGTGCAGTGGTGCAATCTCCGCTCACTGCAAGCTCTGCCCCCTGGGTTCATGCCATTCTCCTGCCTCAGCCTCCTGAGTAGCTGGGACTACAGGCACCCACCACCACACCCAGCTAATTTTTTGTATTTTTAGTAGAGATGGGGTTTCACCATGTTAGCCAGGATGGTCTCAATCTTCTGACCTTGTGATCCACCCGCCTTGGCCTCCCAAAGTGCTGGGATTACAGGTGTGAGCCACCGCACCCAGCCTAATTTTTGTTTTTCAAAACAAAAATATTTTTGTTTTGAAAATTTTTGAAATGTTTAATAGCGACAGGGTTTCACCATGTTGGCCAGGCTGGGCTCAAACTCCTGACCTCAGGTGATCCGCCCACCTTGGCCTCCCAAAGTGCTGGGATTACAGGCCTGAGCCACTGCACCTGGCCTTAATTTGCATTATTAATATTAGAGGTTATCTTTGCCCTTTTTCCTATTCTCTTTGGGAAATATAATGAGGTGTATTAGACCTCATTCTGTCTTTCATTTCACTTTAACATCTTGTTTTTTTCCATCTCTTTCCCTATGGTTTGCATTCTTGATAATGTCCTCAGCTCTATCTTCTAGTTTACTAATTTTTTCTTCAGTTGTGCTTAATCTAATCCATGCACTGAATTTTTAATTTTAATTACTACATTTTTATCTCAAGTTCTATTGGGTTTTTTGTTTTCCTTTATTATTATTATTATTATTATTATTATTATTATTATTATTATTTTGGAGTTTTTTGTTTTTCACAATCCACTTGGTCATTCTTCATTATCTATTATTTCTTGCTAATCTTTTTAAAACTTTTAAAATTTGACCAGGCGCAGTAGCTCATGCCTGTAATCCCAGCACTTTGGGAGGCTGAGTCGGGTGGATCACTTGAGGTCAGGAGTTCAAGACCAGCCTAGCCAACATAGTGAAACCCCATCTCTACTAAAAATACAAAAATTAGCCAGGCACCTGTAATCCCAGCTACTGGGGAGGCTGAGGCAGGAGAATCACTTGAACGAGGGAGGCAAAGGTTGCAGTGAGCCGAGATCACACCACTGCATTCCAGCCTGGGCAACAGAGTGAGACTCCGTCTCAAAAAAAAAAAATTATTTGACCCCATGGCCTTCTGGTCTGACGTTTTTTGGCCGGGCACCATGGCTCATGCCTGTAATCTCAACACTTTGGGAGCTCGAGGTGGGTGGATTATGAGATCAGGAGTTCAAGACAAACCTGGCCAATATAGTGAAACTCCATCTCTACTAAAAATACAAAAAATTAGTCAGGCATGGTGGCACATGCCTGTAATCCCAGCTACTCGGGAGGCTGAGGCAGAGAACTGCTTGAACCCGGGAGGTGGAGGTTGTAGTCAGCCGGGATCGCGATACTGCACTCCAGCCTGGGCAACAGAGGGAGACTCTGTCTCAAAAAAAAAAAAGTTTTATTTCTCTAAATATAATAAACATGGTTATTTTATGTTCTATCTGATTATTCCAATATCTGAAGTGTTTGTGGGTTTGTATCTATCATTTGTGTGTTTTTGTGGGGGGTTTTGCCATTCTTCTGAATGTTTCTATCATCTGTTGTTTCTATTGTTCCTCATAGTTGTTTCTCTGTGTGTGTTGTGATTTTTTGACAGAGTTGCCCATTTTCTTCACATCTTTATCCATGGGATTCTCTGCGGCCTGAATTGAAGTTGAGCTCCTCCAGAGAAGATCAGAGTTTGCCTCTGCTGGTAGACTGGGGCAGTATCAACCTAGACTTTAAATCCTCACTTGCTCACTTGACATTTTTCTTTTCTTTTCTTTTTTTTTTTTTTTTTTGAGATGGACTCTCGCTCTGTCACCCAAGCTGGAGTGCAGTGGTGCGATCTCAGCTCACTGACTGCAACCTCCACCCCAGATTCAAGCAATTTTCCTGTCTCAGCCTCCCAAGTAGCAGGATTTACAGGTGTCTGCCACCATGCCCGGCTAATTTTTGTACTTTTAGTAAAGGCGGGGTTTCACCATGTTGGCCAAGCTGTTCTCGAGCTCCTGACCTCAAGTAATCTGCCTACCTTGGCCTCCCAAAGTGCTGGGATTACAGGTGTAAGCCACCATGCCCAGACCCACTTGACATTTTTCAGATCATACAAGTCTCATGAAATTAGGCCACAAACCTGCAGATCCTGGTTGTGAATTCTCAGGAGAAAATTGTTTTGCCAAGAGTAATGGAGATCCCATTGGTAATAACTGTAATATTTTCATTGTGCATGTGTTTGTTTTGATGAATAAACATTGGAGTCATATATATCTTTCAGCCATGAGAGAACTTTCTGAGTTGCTAATAGTTTCTAAACAATATAGATAGATGGGTGAGATTCCATTTAAGCTTTCTATTCCTTTAAGAGCCAATTGTTGTAAAGAAGTAGGAAACTAACTCAAAACTATACTAAGGTTTTCTGCAAACTATGCAGCTCAACCTAGCTGTTACAGAAGCAGGGTACCCCTTTCTGTAGTGAGTTGGTGGATTCATGTAGCTAGTTACACTGGCACCCCAGTCTACAGAAGCCCACAGGGGCAGCTTCTGGAAGCTGTTGCTTCTCTTGAGAGGCCATACTGGGCAGTGGTTAAAGCCTGGGGTTTGCAGCCAGTGGCCCAGGTGGGAATCCTGACTCTTGCATTCTGGTTGTGTGTGACCTTGGGCAAATCCCTTAATCTCCCTGTGCCTCAGTGCTTCCCTTGTAAAACAGGGATAGCAGCATCTGACTTCAAGCTATGCTACAAGGTTATAGTAACCAAAACAGCATGGTACTGGTACCAAAACAGATATATAGACCAATGGAACAGAACAGAGGCCTCAGAAATAACACCACACATTTACAACCATCTGACCTTTGACAAACCTGACAAAAACAAGAAATGGGAAAAGGATTCCCTATTTAATAAATGGTGCTGGGAAAACTGGCTAGCCATATGCAGAAAGCTGAAACTGGATCCCTTCCTTACACCTTATACAAAAATTACCTCAAGATGGATTAAATATTTCAGTGTAAGATCTAAAACCATACAAACCCTAGAAGAAAACCTAGACAATACCATTCAGGACATAGGCATGGGCAAAGACTTCATGACTAAAACACCAAAAACAATGGCAACAAAAAAAGCCAAAATAGACAAATGGGATCTAATTAAACTAAAGAGCTTCTGCACAGCAAAATAAAATATCAGCGTGAACAGGCAACCTACAGAATGGGAGAAAATTTTTGCAATCTACCCATCTGACAAAGGGCTAATATCCAGAATCTACAAAGAACTTAAATTTACAAGAAAAAACCCCATCAAAAAGTGAGCAAAGGATATGAACAGACACTTCTCAAAAGAAGACATTTGTGCAGCCAACAGACGCATGAAAAATGCTCATCATCACTGGTCATCAGAGAAATGCAAATCAAAACCACAATGAGATACCATCTCACACCAGTTAGAATTGCGATCATTAAAAAGTGAGGAAACAACAGGTGCTGGAGAGGATGTGGAGAAATAGGAACACTTTTACACTGTTGGTGGGACTGTAAATTAGTTCATCCATTGTGGAAGACAGTGTGGCGATTCCTCAAGGATCTAGAACTAGAAATACCATTTGACCCAGTGATCCCATTACTGGGTATATACCCAAAGGATTATAAATCATTCTACTATAAAGACACATGCACACATATGTTTACTGCAGCACTACTCCCAATAGCAAAGACTTGGAACCAACCCAAATGTTCATCAATGATAGACTGGATTAAGAAAATGTGGCACATATACACCATGGAATGCTATGCAGCCATAAAAAGGATGAGTTCATGTCCTTTGAAGGGACATGGATGAATCTGGAAACCATCATTCTCAACAAACTAACACAGGAACAGAAAACCAAACATTGCATGTTCTCACTCGTAAGTGGGAGTTGAACAATGAGAACACATGGACACAGGGTGGGGAACATCACACACAGGGGCCTGTCGGGGGGTGGGGGGTTGGGGGAGGGATAGCATTAGGAGAAATACCTAATGTAAATGTCGAGTTGATGGGTGCAGCAAGCCAACATGGCACATGTATACCTATGTAACAAACCTGCACATTGTGCACATGTACCCTAGAACTTAAAGTATAATAATAATAAAAAAATAGGGATAGCAGCATCTATATCAATGGTTACTCTGAGACTAAATAAATTAGTACATGGAAAGAACCCAGACACATAATAGGCAGCAAATATTAGGTATTATTTTTATTGTTTGACTATTTCCTGCCACCAAATCCAGGTAGCACTGATGAAAGGTGTAAAACACAGTAACAACAAAACAAGAACTCCATCCCCCTACCATCATGTAGCTGATAGTTTGCTAAAAGCACAGTTAGGAAATTCTGTTCCACAGAGATCCACAAGCTTTCCAGAAGTAACACAGAGCCAACTAGGAAACTGAAGGAAAAGTAATTTCTTTTTTTCCTTTTTTTTTTTTTTTTTTTTTTTTTGAGGCAGAGTCTCGCTGTCACCCAGGCTGGAGTGCAGTGGCACGATCTCGGCTCACTGCAAGCTCCGCCTCCCAGGTTCATGCCATTCTCCTGCCTCAGCCTCCCGAGTAGCTGGGACTACAGGCGCCCTCCATCACGCCTGGCTAATTTTTTGTGTTTTTAGTAGAGACATGGTTTCACCGTGTTAGCCAGGATGGTCTTGATCTCCTGACCTCATGATCCACCTGCCTCGGCCTCCCAAAGTGCTGGGATTACAGGCGTGAGCCACCGCGCCCAGCCAGGAAAGTAATTTCATGCAGTCAACAAATCAATTACTGGTTCTTTTTGAAACAGGGTCTCACTCTGTCTCCCAGGCTGGATTGCCCTGGTGCACTCACAGCTCACGGTAGCCTTGATGTCAAGCGATCCTCCTACCCTCCCACCTCAGCCTCCCAGATTCTTTTCTTTTCTTTTAGCATATTTTAACATTTTAAATTAATTTTTTAATAAATGTTATAGCATGTAAATCATGGTTTAAAGATCCAAATACTCCTATGCATGGAGTGGGGGCAAAGGGTATATGAGAAATCTCTGTACCTTCCTTTCAATTTTGCCATGAACATAAAAGCACTGTAAACAATTTTTTTTTTTTTTTTGAGACAGTGTCTTGCTCTGTTGCGCAGGCTTGGAGTGCAGTGGTGCAATCACGACTCACTGCAGCCTCAACCTCCCAGGCTCAAGCAATCCCCCCACCTCAGCCTCCCGAACCTGAGGTGAGGGTCTCTCCATGTTGCCCAGGCTGGAAAACAGTCTTTTAAAACAAAAATGCAGACACTTTAAAATGTGAAATTAAATTGTCCCTTTGCCCCTGATCCCTCCCCAGAGGAAACTGTCCCTGTTTGTTTTTTGTGCCAGCGTGTATAAGTACCTATCTTCCTAACAAATGACATCGAGTCATTGTTTTCATTACTTACTGTATCTTGTAGATTTCCCATATTAATACATTGTAGAGCTCTATTTCATTCTATTCTTTCAACTCAGCCCCTGATTCTAATTTTTCAAAAAGCTTATTGAAATAAGGTTCTTCTTCACTTCATTGAAAATAGAGAAGCGTGAAGCCAAAAGTACAATAGAAAAAACGTGTGTGGGGAAAAAAAACCGTATGATCAGACATGGGGACCTGTTTTATGCCATCACAGCTGACAGTGTTTACCTGGAAACGTTTGTTCTTTGTAACAAGCTTCTTTCCCAGCCTGCCTCCTGGAGGTGAACATGTGCAGGTGGAGAAGTGCCCACTGCATCGGGGCCAAAAGAGGCAAGTGAGCTCAGTGGACCCTAGGCCAGCTCTAGGATTGTGCCAGAAGGAATGGCAGGGCCCCATCCCTGAAACCCAGCCCAGGGGGATACCTGGGGGCCTACTAGTCACCAGGTGTGGCTGTTCATTTACAGTGACAGTGCTTTAGCTACTACCCCTGCATTTGTTTACCTGGGGAGGTGTGTTCTATTTTTGTTTTTTAACTTTATTCTTTTTAGAGGCAGGGTCTCACTCTGATGCCCAGGCTATAGTGCAGTGGCACAATCATAGTTCACGGCAGCTTCCAACTCCTGGCCTCAAGTGATCCTCCCGTCTCAGCCTCTCAAGTAGCTGGGACCACAGGCACGCACTACCACACCTGGCTAATTTTTTTTTTTTTTAATTATTGGTAGAGACAGGGTCTTGCTATGTTGCCCCAGGCTGGTCTCAAACTCCTGGGCTTAAGCAATCTGCCCGCATCAGCCTCCCAAAGTGTTGTGATTACAGGCGTGAGCCACCATGCCTGGCCCACACTATTTTTTGTATACACTTCTACATTTCTATTTAAGTGAGTATATTAACCTATACTAAATAATAAATCTTGGGGATTATTCTGTATTATGTGTACATATTGCTACCTTCTTCTTAAGAGCCACACAATATTCCTTTGTATGGCTTTACCATCATTTATTTAACCACCCCCCATGGACGGACTTTTAGGTTGTTTGCCCTTGTTTGCTACTATAAATCATGCCAGAGGGAATATCCTGGCCCATACTTAGGCGTACACATGTTCAACTTAGGTGATCTCTGTTGGATAAATTTCATGCAGTCAAATTGTCAATCAAACTGGAGAGGTCCCAAAAAATTTTTAATAAGAGAAACAATACATTTTAAAAAAGAGAAAAATAGGCCAGGCGTGATGACTCACACCTGTAATCCCAGTACTTTGGGAGGCCGAGGTGGGCAGATCACATGAGGCTAGGAGTTCGAGAGAAGCCTGGCCAACATAGTGAAACCCCATCTCTACTAAAAATACAAAAATTAGCCAGGCATGGTGGCGCACGCCTATAATCCCAGCTACTTGGGAGGCTGAGACACGAGAATCGCTTGAACCTGGGAGGCAGAGGTTGCAGTGAGCCGAGATCATGCCATTGCACTCCAGCCTAGGCGATGAGGTGAAACTCTGTCTCAAAAAAAAAAGAGAGAGGCGGGGGGAAATAAATAAATAAACAAAGTGGGGCGGTCGTTTTTATTTGTTTTAACTCTGAAAAAGAATCAAATATATACACAAGTAGAAGAGTACTTCTGAAGCCCCACATACCTATCATTCAGCCTTAGCAGGCATCAAGTTGGAGCCAAATTTGTTTCATCTCCACGGCACTCGCCCAATATGGTTATTTTGAAGTCTTAGATACCATTTTATGTATAAATATTTCTGCTTGGATCGCCACAAGATGATTTTTTAAATTTTTTTTAATTTTTAATTTTTTTTCCTTTTTTTTTAGAGTCAGGATCTCACTCTGTCTTCTAAGCTGGAGGGCAGTGGTGGGATCACAGCTCATTGCAGCCTCAACCCTCAGGGCTCAGGCAATCCTCCCACCTCAGCCTCTCAAGTAGCTGGGACTACAAGCATGCACCAGAGCACATCCAGCTAATTTTTAATTTTTTTTTTTTTTTTTTTTTTTGGTAGAGACATGACCTTACTATGTTGCCCAGGCTGGTCTCAAACTCCCGGGCTCAAATGATCCTCCCAAAGCGCTGGGAGCCACTGCACCAAGCCTTGCATTTTTTAAAATAGTTTACTGGGCCTGGTGCGGTGGCTCACACCTGTAATCCCAGAACTTTGGGAGGCCAAGGCAGGAGGATCACTTGAGGTCAGGAGTTCAAGACCAGCCTAGCCAACATGGTGAAACCCTGACTCTACTAAAAATACAAAAATTGCTGGGCATGGTGACTCATGCCTGTAATCCCAGCACTTTGGGAGGCCGAGGCGGGCAGATCACCTGAGGTCAGGAGTTCGAGACCAGGCTGACCAACATGGAGAAACCATATTTCTACTAAAAATACAAAATTAGCTGGGCATGGTTGCACATGCCTGTAATCCCAGCTACTCGGGAGGCTGAGGCAGGAGAATCACTTGAACCCGGGAGGTGGAGGTTGCAGTGAGCCAAGATTGTGCCATTGCACTCCAGCCTGGGCAACAAGAGCAAAACTCCATCTCAAAAAAAAAAAAAATACAAAAATTAGCCAGGCATGGTGGCGCACACCTGTAATCCCAGCTACTTGGGAGGCTGAGGCAGGAGAATTGCTTGAACCCGGGAGGCAGCAGTTGCAGTGAGCCAAGATCATGCCACTGCACTCCAGCCTGAGTGACAGAGCAAGACTCTGTCTCAAAAATAATAATAATAATAATAAATTAAATAGTTTATTGTATTGTCTTGCCCTCCTGTTTTCCAAAGAGAACGCTGCCTACCTCACCCCAACGGCATTTGAAAGTAGACTGGCTCATCTGAAATGCTTATTTGCAAGCATCTAACTTCCTGACCCTGTGTCACAGATGGCCCCACTTGGCCCCAAGCCCCTGGTAAGTACCTGCGTGCTCACCAAAGGTTGACTCAGGGCCACATACACCAGGCCCAGACCAGAAGGGGTGGGGGAGCCGCGCTGATCTAGAACCAGAAACCAGGGCCATTTTGATGCCAAGACTTCCTCAGTCTTGGTTTCTTCTGTCTTCTTCTAGATCATTACTTTGTATTTACAAGCATATATGTGTGCCTGTGATGTGTTAGACCAAGTTTTAGTCACTTGTAGCCCCAGCTACTGGGGAGGCTGAGGCAAGAGAATCACTTGAACCCGGGAGGCGAGGTTGCAGTGAGCTAAGATCGTGCCATTGCACTCCAGCCTGGGCAACAAGAGTGAAACTCCGTCTCAAAAAAAAAAGAAAAAAGAAAAGCTACCGGGACCTGTGTGTGTTTTGTTGTTGTTGTTGTTGTTGTTGTTGTTGTTGTTTTGTTCTTGTTGTTTTGTTTTGTTTTTGAGACAGAGTCTCATTCTGTCGCCCAGGCTGGAGTGCAATGGCACGATCTCAGCTCACTGCAACCTTCGCCTCCCAGGTTCCAGTGATTCTCCTGCCTCAGCCTCCCCAGTAGCTGGAGCTACAGGCGTGCACCACCATGCCCAGCTACTTTTTATATTTTTAGTAGAGATGGGGTTTCACCATGTTGACCAGGCTGGTCTTGAACTCCTGACCCCAAGTGATCTGCCTACCTTGGCCTCCCAAAGTGCTGGGATTACAGGCGTGAGCCACCTCGCCCAGCTCAGGGACCTGTTTTAATATCCAAGTTGGTGGCAGGCTCTGAGCTAGATTGGATCCCAGGTCACCTAATTCAGCCACTGGTTCTCAAATTGGGTGCCCTGAAGATCTCCTGGAGTGCTAGACAAAATGCAGAGTCCTGGGCCTCACTGCCCAAGATTCTGATTTGGAAGTTGGGGCCCAAGAATGTGCATTTTCATCAAGTTTAGTATCAGAGTGATGCTGGTATTGTTTTTTTGTGGCCTGCACTTGGAAAAACACTGCTCTAGGCCCTAGTAGTTTTATAAAACACACAGGTGTTCCCCAGCTCCCTCTAGATGGTGATAAAAACAGGCTGGAGCGCTCTACCTCCATTAGTCAGCGCTCTTCAGGTGAAAGTGACAGAAACAAACTGGCCGTAGCGCAGAGGGAATCTGCTGGCTTGTACAACTAACATGTCCAGGGTAGCACTGGGCGCAGCTGGATACAAGGCCTCAGTGAGACCAGATGCGGCCTCTGTTTCTCCATCCTGTGGCCCTGCTCTCTGCTCTGTGTTGGTCTAACTTCCAGGCGGGCCTTCCCCATGTGATGCCCCATGGGGCTGGGCCCATCCATCCTTGCAAATAGTAGTCCCAGCTGAGACTTCTCCACTAAGAGTTCCAGCTGGAGTTCCACTCTTGAGCCCCACTAGCCTGGTTAGGTCAGCCTCTCAAACCACCTGGACTGAAATTATCGGACAGTCGATGGTACCAGAAGAAGGGCAAGAGATGCCGAGCAGGGAAAAACAGAAGACAGCAGTCACACTCTCTGAGGGAAAACTCCAATTATAAATATCTCCAAGTAGACCGGGTGTGGTGGCTCATGCCTGTAATCCCAGCACTTTGGGAGGCTGAGGCGGGAGGATCACTTGAGCCCAGGAGGTCAAGGCTGCAGTGAGCCATAATCGCATCACTGCACTCCAGCCTGGACAACAGAGTGAGACCCTGTCAAACAAAAAAAGAGAGAGAGAGATCGAAATATTCCCAAGTACAATGAGTTGCCTCACAGAAAGTGAACTCCCCATTGCTGGAGATAGTCAGGCAGTGGCCCAGAAATGCCACCCCGAGATAAGCGGTTTTCTTCAAAAGATACTCACTCTTCTACAACTTGGCTGCTTCGATGTCCTTTCTCCCCTTTTCCTAGCCCAGGAGACCCAGCTTAAACGCCACTGCCCCAAAGGCCTCCTCTGGCTCCCTGCGATTTTGCTGTCCTCTGTGTGATTCAGAGTTTAAGTCCCATTGGAGTCCTACCCTGCCGCTTCATGGCTGGGCGACAAGGACAAACAGCTTCACTTCTCTGAGCCTTGTCTTTCTTATCTGTACCATAACTGGCAGGTTCCCAAAGATCTCTTCTCCACTTCTTCAACAATCGCAGACTTTTTAGCTTAGCATGTGGTGCCCTAAATAAAGGCCACAATTCCTGTCTCCTTTGTTCATGGGACTAAGTGCTGCCCACGGGCTGGGAGCAGCAGTGTCGTGTGGCCACTCTGGGCAATTCCTCGGAGAGGTGGCCGGCACGTGTCTATGGTCCCAATCTTGTTCGCCCCCTCCTGGGTCCTCCTGCCTGAAATGCAGATGCTGCCCTCTTGGACCAGGAGGAAGAAGGCCCTTAGGCCTGGCAGAGCGGGGGGTCCCTGCCACCTTGTGGAACGGAGGCAACTTACAGCCCTGGACTTCATGCCTCCAGCCTGTGGCATGAGAAATAGCGCTGGCTTGTTTAAGCCACTGATATTTAGGACTTTCTACTGCGCAGAACATAATCCTAACTCATCGGAGGGCCTACCTCATGGCCATTGTGAAGACTAGAAGAAGAGATGTGTATCATGTGCCCGGCGCAGCGCCTGGCACACGGCCAGGAGAGGAGGGGCAGCGGCGCTGTTATCTCCCCGTTATCATCATCACTGGCCATTTCACTCTTCAGCCTCACATTCGATCTGGCTGTTCTCGGCTCTGCCTCCCGCACTTCGAGTGTGTCCCTTACCAGAAAGGACCTCGTCTTCTCTGTCTCTCCCTCAGCTCCTGGACTGGGCTCCTAGGCTGCAGACAACAAAACCAGTTCAGGCTGACTGGAGCAAACAGGAGACGGCTGGAAGGCAGTGGGGCCCCCATAGAATGACGGAGGCCTAGAAACCCTGGCTTGGGTGGGGGGCCTGGGAGCTTCTCTGCTGCAGGAGCCCACCCCAACAGGAGTGCATGTGGCCATTCGCCATGGCTCTGTCTCTCTCCCATTGGCTCCCGTTCCAGGCCCACCCCTTGGCAGGAAGAGGGGGATGCCTGGATGAGCAGTTCCACCAGGGACCCAGCGAGTGTGCCGAGAACACGAAATGTGCCCTGGGCTGCAGCCAAGACCCAGCAAAGCCCAGCAAAGCCCAGCAAATCCCAGCAAAGGTCAAGTCTGGCCAAGTCTGTAAGTGTTTTGTTTGTTTGCTTGTTTTGAGATGGAGTCTCACTCTGTTGCTCAGGCTGGAGTGCAGTGGAGCAATCTCAGCTCACTGCAACCTCCACCTCCCGGGTTCACGTGATTCTTCTGCCTCAGCCTCCCGACTGGCTGGGATTACAGATGCACACCACCATGCCCGGCTAATTTTTGTATTTTTAGTAGAGATGGGGTTTTGCCATGTTGGCCAGGTTGGTCTCGAACTCCTGGCCTCAAGTGATCTGCCCACCTTGGCCTCCCAAAGCGTTGGGATTACAGGCGTGAGCCACCGTGCCCGGCTGGCTGTGTGTTCTTGACAGTAAGCACCAGACTCCCTGACCCAACAATGAGTAAACAGGTCCACTCCTCTCAAAAACGGAAGGAGGGAAGCGGGGGCTGCCCAGGGCCAGTGGACGGAGTGACTCAGCACTGGGCCTTGTCCAGAGGAAGGAGACGCAGGAGGAGGAAACTCCTGGAAGTCCCTGCAGACAGTGCTCGGGTCCCCCTGGCCAGAGCATTTGATGATCACATGACCTCTGCTGCAACAGGTAACTGCAAGGGGTGCGAGGGAGTTCAATGTAGACTCCGGTGGTGGAGAAGCCAGGAGTCCTCCCACCTCGGCTCTGCTCCAGTGCTGCAGCGGCTGCGGAAGCCTCTAGTTGGCCTGGAGGGCGGAACCGAGGTGTGGAGAGCACTTTCCACTAGCAACCAGCAGGTGGAACAAGGAGATGCTGCTAAACCCTTGAGTGTAAGGCTCTGCTCACTAAAGTGAGTTAGAGCATATTTCTAGTGTCTTCTGCCTCCATCTTCCCAATGTTAAGTCTCACCGACTTCAACAGACAGGAAAGGCTGGGCATAGAGGCTCACGCCTGTAATCCCAACACTTTAGGAGGCCAAGACGGGAGGATCGCTTGAAGCTAGGAGTTCAAGACCAGCCTGGGCAACATAGTGAGACCCTGACTCAACAAAAAAATAATAATACAAAGCAGACAAGAAAGATCCTAAAGGACTGGAGAACTTGACCCACGAACAGTAGCAGCACCCCCTCTGTCTCTGCGGGCAGAGAAGGAGCCCACTGAGAATCCTGTATTGGGAGCCAGGTTCATGTTCTAGCTCTGCCTCTTACCAGCTGTGTGGCCTTGTGAATAATTCTCTGAGTCTCAGCCTTAGCTGTGAAATGGAGACAAGATGCTTAACGGCCAGACACAGTGGCTTATGCCTGTAATCCCAGCACTTTGGGAGGCCGAGGTGGGCAGATCACGAGGTCAGGAGTTCGAGACCAGTCTAGCCAATATGGTGAAACCCCATCTCTACTAAAAATACAAAAATTAGCCAGGCGTGGTGGTGTGCACCTGTAATCCCAGGTACTAGGCAGGGCTGAGGCAGGAGAATCGCTTGAACCTGGGAGACGGAGGTTGCAGTGAGCTGAGATCGTGCCACCGCACTGCAGCCTGGGCGACATAGCAAGACTCCATCTCAAAAAAAAAAAAAAAAAAAGATGCTTCGCGCTGTGAGTGGCATATAGTAAGAACTGAATCAATGGGTGTTCTTGCATTCCAGGTGCTATGCTAGTCTTGGGGGGACTCCAGTGTGGGCCCCTCCAGCTGTCCTCCCATTTCTCTGCTCCCTTCAAGTGCTTTTGTATCTCCTTTCCACTCTCTCCCTCTCTGCGCTGTTCACCCTATCAGTTTCCATCTGACACCACTTATTCCTTCCTCTTCCTCAAAACGCTCCTCTTTTGGTTTCCAGGATCCCACACACCCTTGGTTTTTCCTTCTACCTCTTGGCTACTCTTTCTGTCTCCTTTGCAGCCTCTTCCTCACCTGCCCAGGCCCTAGCTTGGTCCTGAACCCCTTTGTCAACACTCTGGAAGGGGATCACAGCCCAGGCCTTGTTGTCAATACCAGTTGTGCACTGATGACGCCCAAGCCTCTCTGCCAAATTCCTGACTCAGATCCTACTGCCCAGGTGACACCTCCACTTTGACAATTCAAATAAAACATTATCAAAAATGGGGACATCCTCCACCTGGCCCCCTCCCAGGCTTCTCTGCTTGATGGAGGGCACCACAGTGCACTCCGGTGCTCTGCCCCTTCCTCTCCCCTACATGTCCATGCCACCCACAGTTCCCCCCTGTCTTTTCTGTCTCCCACATGGATCTGGAATCATGCCCCTTTTTCCTTCCCTACTCCCAACCGACTTGTCCAAGCCATCCTTATCTCTCCTCTACACTTCCATTTTTATCTTCCCTATAATCTAATCCCAGATTTATCTGGTTTATTATATAAACCAGAGTTATCTTTTTTAATCAAACCATATCAGTGGATGGAAGGATAAGCAACATGTGGTAGACCCATATAGTGGAATATTCTTTGGCCATAAAAGGAATGAAGGACCATGCTACAACATGGATGACGCTTGAAAACATTGTGCTCAATGAATGACACCAGACGCAAAAGACCATATATGATGATATTCCATTTAAAGCAGGCAAATCCATGGAGACAGAAAGTAGACTAGCAGGTTCTTAGGGCTGGAGGGAGACAGGAATGGGAGGAACTGCTTCATGGGTACAGGGTTTCCTTTTTTTTTTTCTTAGAGATGGGGTCTTGCTATGTTGCCCAGGCTGGTCTCCACCTCCTGGGCTCAAGCAATCCTCCTGCCTCAGCCTCCAAAGTGATTGGGATTCCAGGTGCATGCCACTATGTACGGGGCCTTTGACAGTGTTTCCTTTTGAGATAATGAAAAGGTTCTGGAACTAGATAGCAGTGCAGCTTGCACAACATTGTGAATGTACTAAATGCCACCAGCCGTATGCTTGATAATGGGTAAAATGGTAACGTTTATGTTATGTGTATTTTACTACATTTTTTGTAAAAAATCAAATGGTCCTGGCCGGGCACAGTGGCTCACACCTGTAATCCCAGCATTTTGGGAGGTCAAGGTGGGCAGATCACCTGAGGTCAGGAGTTCGAGACCTGCCTGGGCAACATGACAAAACCCCATCTCAACTGAAAAAAAAAAAAATTAGCTGAGCATGGTGGCGGGCTCCTGTAATCCCAGCTACTCAGGAGGCTGAGGCAGGAGAATCGCTTGAACCTGGGAGGCAGAGGTTGCAGTGAGCTGAGATCGCGCCATTGCACTCCAGCCTGGGCGACAAGAATGAAACTCCATCTCAAAAAAAAAAAAAAAAATCAAACGATCCCTCCCCTGCTTAGAACTCCCATGGCTTCCTGTGCTCCACATGGACTCCAGCCCCTTCTGTGGGCCTCCGGCCTCCTCCCCAGCCTTACTTCTTATGACTCTCTTCACCCTCCTCTGTGCATCCACAATCTTGGCCTCCTTTTGGCCTCATAAGGCCAAGCTCTTCCCACCTCAGGCCCTTCGCACATGCTGTTCTCTCTTCTGAAAAGGTTGTCCCTCTCTCTTCATAGCTGCTTCTACTTCAGCTTTCAGTGTCCGTTTAAATGTCACCTCCTCAGAGACCCCTTCCCTGCTGTCCTGCCTCAGTGGATCTGCATCTCAGTCTCCACCTTTTGTTATCTCCACCACAACCCCCAGCTCATTCCTTTGCAATACTTCATTGTTTTCAAGACAGGGTCCCACTCTGTCACCCAGGCTGGAGTGCAGTGGCGTGATCACATCTCACTGCAGCCTTGACCTCCCAGACTCAAGCAATCCTCTGGCCTCAGCCTCCTGAGTAGCTGGGAATACAGGCATGCACCACCACACCTGGCTAGGTCATGTGTGTGTGTGTGTGTGTGTGTGTGTGTGTACACAAAATAAACAAAATATATGTAATTATACAATTATAATTATACAATTATAATTATAGAAATGTTTATATATAAGTGTGTGTGTGTGTATATATATGTGTGTGTGTGTATATACATATATGTATGTAGAGACAGAGTCTCACTATGTTTCCCAGGCTGGTTTTGAACTCCTGGCCTCAAGTGATCTGCCTGCTTCAACCTCCCAAAGTGCTGGGATTGCAGGCGTGAGCCCCCGCACCCAGCCCCCTTTTCAATGCTTATCACTTTGTAATTTGTCGTTTAGTATTTGTGTGCCTCCCTATATAGACTAAGTTTAATGAGGGCAGGCAGGACCTGCCTGTCTTACTCAACTCTGTGTTCTCTGCCTAGCACATAGTTGGCACTCAGAAACTCTTTGCTGAATTGATGACAGATCACCCAGCGGGCAAGGGAAACCATTGAGGCAGGATTTACACCCAGGCCTCTTTGATGCAATGCCTGTGTTCTTCCTACTCTTCTGTGTGACTCTGAACTGTGAGGCAGAAGGCTGAGCCGAGTGCCAGAGAAGAGAGTTGGAGGTGACCGTGCCCTTTTCACATAGCTGCGTCATCAGGCATCGGTGCCCAGGCCTTGTGCAGATCCCGTCGTGTGGCCGTCACTGCTGTAGATAAATCTTATCTGCTGGGAAAGGCACCTCTGGGCCTAAACAACAGATGTCACTCTAAGAAATCCCAGCAGAACCCCCACCCTGTCTCTGGCTGAGAACTCATCTACTTTTCTCTCCCTCTGTCCATTTTCTCACACTCTACCAGAGCCAGGACAGGGCTTTTGCCCTAGGAAGGGAAGTGGTCAACTGTAGCCGTTGATAACTGCCTTGGAGGAACCAAAACCAGCAGAGGC
Source organism: Homo sapiens (assembly GCF_000001405.40). Taxonomy (NCBI): domain Eukaryota; kingdom Metazoa; phylum Chordata; class Mammalia; order Primates; family Hominidae; genus Homo; species Homo sapiens. The sequence goes on along the minus strand of NC_000012.12, from coordinate 110,694,491 downwards.
AGCCCTCTCTCTTCCCGCTGGGGAAAGCCAGAGCTGGCCACTGCCCTGGCCCGGCCCCAGCTGTCCTGGAGCCCAGGGATGGCCCAGTCCCCCAGGGCTGTACTCAGATCTTCCTCAAAATGCTCCATGTGGCCAGGCGCGGTGGCTCATGCCTAGAATCCCAGCACTTTGAGAGACCAAGGCGGGAGGATCCCTTGAGCCTAGGAGCTTGAGACTAGCCTAGGCAACATAGTGAGACCCTGTCTCCACAAAAAAATAAAAATTAGCCAGGTGTGGTGATGCATGCCTGTGGTCCCAGGTACCCAGGAGGCTAAGATGGGAGGATAGTTTGAGTCCAGGTGGTCAAGGCCGAAGTGGGTAGTGATTGCACCACTGCACTCCAGCCTGGGTGACAGAGCAAGACCCCATCCCTAAATAAGTAAGTACACGCTCCATGAACATCAAAAGGCAGGACACCCAGAAAATTCAAGCAAGCTGGGCTCACTGCTTGGTAAGAAATGCGGAGGACCGGGGGTGGGGCAAGGACTGCCTTGTGTAAGAGAACTGCTTTGGTATTGCCCAAACCGGAACAAGTCCTTCATCTAACGCAGTTCCTAATCTTTTTGTAATCTGGGGCCTTTGACATCTGGGGAAGCTTCTGGACCTCTTCCAAGAGTAATGTTTTTCAATGCATAAAACAGAACGAATGCATCGTATTACAAATGATGCCAGCTATCTTGCATTGAAGTTTTGAATTTTTTTTTACTTGTAATAAATAGATGGAGTTCTTATAGTACACATTAAACTATAAGAACAGCTGGCTCAGTAACTACTATAATTTTGAAGTAATGATACATATAAGTTATATTTTGAGATATCTCCAATAACTATACTGTGGTTTAAAAACATCTGTGATTTTGACTGATGACAAAGTTAGTGGGTTTTTTTTTCCGTTTTTTTTTTCTTTTGAGATGGAGTTTCACTCTTGTTGCCCAGGCTGGAGTGCAGTGGCGTGATCTCAGTTCACTGCAACCTCCACCTCCCGGGTTCAAGCGATTCTTCTGCCTCAGCTTCCCAAGTAGCTGGGATTACAGGCATGCGCTACCACACCCGGCTAATTTTGTATTTTTTAGTAGAGACAGGGTTTCACCATGTTGGCCAGGCTGGTCTTAAACTCCTGACCTCAGGTGATCCACCGGCCTCAGCCTCCCAAAGTGCTGGGATTACAGGCATGAGCCACCGCGCCTGGCCAGTTAGTGACGTTTGTAATGCAACTGTAATTTGTTACCTACATTCATAATTGAAGGAAATATTAAATTTCAGTTAAAGGCCAGTGGCTCATGTCTATTATCCCAATTTAAAAAAAAAAATTTGGGGAGGCTGAGGCCGGAGGATTGCTTGAAGCCAGGAGTTTGAGACCAGCCTGGGAAACAAAGCAAGACCCCATCTCTACAAAAAATAAAAATAAATAAATAATAAATTAGCTGGGTACAGTAGCATGTGCCTGTAGTCCCAGCTACTTGGGAGGCTGAGACAGGGGTATCACTTGAGCCTGGGAGTTTGAGGCTGCAGTGAGCTGTGCTCGAGCCACTGCATTCCAGCCTGAGCAACAAAGTGAGACCCTGTCTCTAAACAAACAAACAAAGTAATAATACGTTTCAGTTAGAGGTTAATGAAAATAAAGAATTTTTTTCCCACCCAAGTTAATAGACCTCCTGGATTCTTTCTGTGGACCTCAGCTTACTCTTCCCTAAGTTGTTTTGTTTTTGTTTTTGTTTTTGTTTTTTAAGAGACAGGGTCTTGCTCTGTCACCCAGGCTGGAGTGCTGTGGTGCAATCGTAGCTCACTGCAGCCTCGAACTCCTGGGCTCAAGGGATTCTCCCACCTCAGCCTCCTGAGTAGCTGGGACTACAGGGGCACACCACCATGCCCAGCTAATTTTTTAAAACATTTTTTATAGAAATGGGGTACTGTTCTGTCACCAAGGCTCATCTTGAACTCCTGGGCTCAAGCAGTCCTCCCGCCTCAGCCTCCCAAAGTGCTCAGACTACAGGTGTGAGCCACCATGCCCGGCCTTCTCCTTTAAGTATTGTTGGCCTCACTTTCCCAACTAAAATGGGAGCTCACTAAGAACAAAGGCTGTTCCTTCATCTTATACTTAGTACCTTGAAAGGGCCTACCACACAGTAGGTGGTCACGTGTTAGTCTGTTAGGTCTTTTGGATTTTCTAGGTAGACAATCACATCGATTGCAAATAATAGTCTTTCTCTTTTCAGTCTTTGTATTTCTTTTTTCTTGTTTTATTGCATTGACTGAGCTCATCAGTGAAATGTTGAATAGTAGCAATGATGGAGGGCACCCCAATCTTATTATGCTCAATACTCATTAATTTATGCAATAGGAATGTAAAGTACCTACTGCAGGTCAAATCCTGTGCCTGGGGATAACAGTGTAACACATTTGAGATCTTTTCCTGTCCACTGAAATGCCTGAGCAGTAGCAGTATTTCAGTAAACACGACAATGCTGAGAATATCACCAAATTCTCCAGACTTGCTGAAGTGTTCCTTTGGGATCCTGGTTCCCAAAAAGTATGGACATAGGTCCCTGCTGGTGGCCCCAGGTTCCAGGCCATCAGTAAGGTTGGGGGCTGCAGACTGGACCACTGCACCGTGGAGCAGAGGCAAGTACCCAGGGAGAAGACTGAGCGATGCCTCTGTAGGGGAAGGGATGGGGGAAGGTAGCCAGGGGATCAAGCCAGGCCAGGGTTTGAGCCTTGCCTTGCCTTAGCAGGGTCTGTTGAGGTCACCACCTGTCTGCACTAAGGGTCTAACTACAGGCAAGACCAGATGTTAAGACAGAGGGCTGCAACTTCCAGGTGTGCAACTAGGGGACGGGGTACTTGTTCCCTTTTCCCTTCCTCAACCAGAGGGGAGTGAACACAGAGGAGGGGCTGTTGGGAGCAGTCCCCACATCCTCTCCACTCTGTCTAGCTGGCCCTGGGGGAGGAGGAGAATTTTTAATAAAATATAAGGAAGTTGAAGTTGAAAATGGACCAGACTATGCCTTAGAAACTGGCATGGGGCTGTTGTAATAATACATGACTGAGAAGTCAGGAGATCTGACCAAAATGTTTTTAAGAAAGCCTTCTGGCCAGACGCGGTGGCTCACGCCTGTAATCCCAGCACTTTGGGAGGCCGAGGAGGACGGAGCACGAGGTCAGGAGATCGAGACCATCCTGGTTAACACGGTGAAACCCCGTCTCTACTAAAAATACAAAACATTTAACCGAGCGTGGTGGCGGGCGCCTGTAGTCCCAGCTACTCAGGAGGCTGGGGCAGGAGAATGGCATGAACCTGGGAGGCGGAGCTTGCAGTGAGCCGAGGTCGCGCCACTGCACTCCAGCCTGGGTGACAGAGCGCGACTCCACCTCAAAAAGAAAAAAGAAAGCCTGCTGCAGTCCAGGCATGGTGTTTCACGCCTGTAATCCCAGCACTTTGGGAGGCCGAGGCAGGCGGATCACTTGAGGTCAGAAGTTCGAGACCAGCCTGACCAGCATGGAGAAACCCTGTCTCTACTAAAAAAACAAAAATTAGCCAGGCGTGGTGGCAGGCACCTGTAATCCCAGCTACTCAGGAAGCTGAGGCAGGAGAATTGCTTGAACTCAGGAGGCAGAGGTTGCACTGAGCCAAGATCATGCCATTGCACCCCAGCCTGGGCCACAGAGTGAGACTGTTGCCGGGTGGAGTGGCTCACACCTGTAATCCCAGCACCTTCGGAGGCCAAGGCAGGCAGATCACTTGAGGTCAGGAGTTCGAGACCAGTCTGACCCACATGGTAAAACCCCGTCTCTACTAAAAATACAAAAATTAGTCAGGCATGGTGATGCTGGCCTGTAATCATAGCTACTCGGGAGGCTTGAGGCAGGAGAATTGCTTGAACCCAGGAGGCGGAGGTTGCAGTAAGCCAAGATCGCACCACTGCACTCCAGGCTGGACGACAGTGAGACTCCGTTCCAAAAAAAAGAAAAAAGAAAAGAAAGCCAGCTGCCCAGCAGAATTGGGGAAAGCCGAGTCAGTTGAAGCAGACAATACCCCTATGGGAGGCAGAAGAATGCACCCCCCTACCAAGATATCCACATCCTAACCCCTCCAAACCTGTATGTTGCCTTAAGTGGCAAAGGGGACTTTGCACATGTGGCTATGTGAAGGATCCTGAGCTGGAGAGATTAGCCTGGATTATCCAGGTGGATCCCATATAATCACAGGGCTCCTTAGAAGGGAGAAGACGCTGTGACCATGGAGGCAGAGGTCGGATTGAGACAGCCAAGGATCACAGGCACCTCTCCAGCCGGGAAAAGCAAGGAACACACTACCCTGGCGCCTCCAGAAGGCACAGCCCCACCCACACCTTGATTCTGGCCCTGTAGGACCCATCTGAGACTTCTGGCCTCCAGGGCTGTAAGATAACACATTTGTGTTAAGCCACTAGGTTTGTGGTGATCTGTTAACAGCGGCATGAGGAAACTAACACAACCCCAAGGAGGTGAGCCTCTCCCCACAGCCCCGACTCAACCGGAAGGGAGAGGTGTGCAGAAGACGGCTTTGCAGGATGTTTGGGACAAATGGTCTCTGGGGGAAGACAGAAGCTAACAGAACTGATTCGACTGTGTGAACAGGGTGCTGGGAGGGCCCACAGGGGAGGGACTTCAGAGCTGGGCCTGCGCCTGCGGGGCCGTACGAGTTGGCCCGGAGCAAGGCGGCCCAGGACAGGCAGGGGCTGCACGCGGTAAGGCTCCCTCTTGCCAGTACCATCCCATGAGCAGCCTCAGAGCCCTCGACCAAGGGAAGTTCTGAGGGCTGAGAGGTTGCTCATTCGTCAGAGCGTGCTGCCCACCCTCCACCCCTGCATGGCAGAAACTGTGCAGGGGACGAGGCCAAGGAATCAGGAGACCCAGAGGCAGGGGTGGCCCGGAGACGGTGGGATGGAGCAGAAGCTCCCCGAAAGGGGTTGGCGGGGTGGATTCGCCCCGCTCCAGCCGGCGGAGGAAGGAAGTGGTTCCCCCGCCCACCCTTCCCTTAGGCTGGCCCGGGGCAGGATTTTTGTGATCCGCGATTCGCTCCCACGGGCGGGACCTTTGTAACTGCGGGAGGCCCAGGACAGGCCCACCCTGCGGGGCGGGAGGCAGCCGGGGTGAGGGAGGTAGGGACGAACGGGTGGACTGACCACAGGCAGGGACAAGGGGACTAAGACCCGGGCCGAGGCCTAGAAGCCCGCCGACCGTTGGGGGTCTGCGGGCTGTGGGGGCGGGGACGGGGGCGGGGGCGGCCCGGGCGGGGGCGGGGCCTGGTACGGTACGGGGCGGGACGGGCTGGGCCGGACCTGCTCTGAGGCTCCCAGTCGCAGCGGTGACCGCGGGCGGGTGGGGCGCCGGGTAAGTGCTCGGGCCGGGCGGGGGGCGTACCCCGTTTGGCGTGCAGCCCTTTCTACAAGACCCCCAGTGCCCGATCCTTCCGAGAAGAGGGGACCCCCCCCCGCATCTCCGCTGTCCAGGCCTCGCCGTGGAGCCCCAGCAGGACCCCAGCCCTCGGTTGCCCTCGGCTCTGGCGTGTCCCGGCGCGGGCGGGCAGTGCTTCCCCTCGGCAGGGACTGGAGTCCAGGGGAGGGGAACGCGGGAGACGCTGGCCCTAGTGACCCCCCGATCCCGGAGAGTTGGTGGTGCGCGCCGCCCTGGGCCAGGTGCCTTCAGTTCTTCACACTCCGCGCAGCAGCCACAGGTGACCATCGTCGTCTCCCTCTTAACAGGTGAAGAAACCAAGACGCAGAGAGGCCAAGCCCCTTGCCTTGGGTCACACAGCCAAAGGAGGCAGAGCCAGAACTCACAACCAGGTCTGTGTCCCCTAAGTCCTCGGATGCATCGTCCCTGCCCCGCTGCCCTCCCGGGAGATTGTAGGAGAGAAGCAGGGGCAGAGGCAGTGCTGGATGTCCCGGGAGAAGGCTGCAATGAGCAGGCCCAGCCATCCCTGAAGGAGGAGCCCCGGGGAAGCAAACTCTTCCCTAGAAACACTTTAAAAGCACCCACCTGTTGGAGACAGAGATGCTGAGGAACAAGAGTGATTGGGGCCAGGGTAAACGCCAAGACAGAGAGGGGAGAGCAGTTCCTCAGTGGAACTCCCTCCAACATTGCCCCCACCACTTTTACCAGTGCTGGGTGTGGGGGATCTTGCAGGCTCAGCTTCGTGACTTGGCCTGTCTCTGCCTCAGTTTCCGCATCTGTCCCATGAGGTTAAGCATGTACCTACCTCGCAGGATTGCTGAGAAGATGATATAAGATGCTTGGTGTACAGGCTTAGCCCCTGGCACCAGGTTACTACCAAAAGTTCATGGTTCCAGTGCTTCCTCCACCCTCCGTCCTGCCCCTCTGAGAGTACTTCTCTGTCCTGGGCACCTTTAACTTCAGGTTGTTCAGGGCTATCTGAGATCTGCAGGATTTCCGGACAGCCCCACCAGCAACTAGGAGCTGCTTGAGTAAGACCAAGGTGAGGGGGTGGCAACTTCTCTGGCTGACTCCCCAGAGGGAAAGGCTGATAAGGGCAGGGTTTTGAAAATCTCTGGGCTGAGGCTTGCACAAGGTCCAGAGCTGCTCTGTGGCCCCTGCCCTCCCCGACACAGGTTTAGCAAGAAGGAGAAAGCCAGAGTGTTCTTGTCCCCAGACTTGATCCTTTGCTAGTCATTGGGGCTTGGGCCCTGGGAGCTGTCATCCACCACCCCGCTCCTCGTCCCTTCCCCACAGTCTAGGCTAGCGACAAGTTCTAACCCAAAGCATATCCTGAATCCGGCCACCCCTCCACCCCCTACTTCCACCCTGAGACCAGGCCGCCAGCATCTCTTGCCGCCTCATCACGCTGGACCCCTCACTTCCATCCAAATCCCCAGCATCGCCTGCCAAGCCCTCTCCATGATCAGGCCCTGTGTGATTATTCTCAATTTTTCTCTCTGGCCACTGTCCTGTCCACTGCTGTCCCCAGCCGCCACCTCCTAAGTACTCCGCTCTCTCAGGGGCTGTGCACAGCACACGTGTTCTTCCTTTTCCCGGGAATGCTCTTCTCTGCAATCTGTGACATACTCCCTTGTAATTCAGGGCACACCATAAATGTCGAGTTGTCCCTGACCACCCCACTTAAGGAGACCCCGCCTGCTCCCTGGCCCCTTACTCTGGCTGGCTGGCTTCCCAGTGCTTAGCTGGGGGGGGGGGGTGTGGTCTGTCTTGTATATTTCCTTGCTTCCTTGTTTGTCTCCCCAGGTAACATGTCAGTCTACCAGGATCGTGATCTTGCCCTTTCCTCTTCACCTTGGATTTCCCAGAACCTGGGAAATCAGTGCCTGGCACCTAGGAATGGCTCAGATAGTTTTGTACAGTTGCAGGCAATGTGTCAGCCATCAGCCTATTTTTCTTCTCACTGCTTGACAGCATTTTTTCTCCCGTTTCTACATAGACTTCAGAATTATCCCTCCCAAGAGCCCACTGCCTTCCTCAGCTTTTCCCTAAAGTAGGGCTTGGGGGTTGAGGGCCACTTCCAGGTTTTAGCCATACTATTCAACTTAGCTATAAATATCATTGTCCATATTGTGCATGTTTTTGGCTATCAAATGGCTTCTTGGAGATACAGTTTCCTAACCAAGGTGTGCAAGTCAAGGGTGGGATCATTTTGGAAGCACTTACCTCTTGTGACCAGGTAGCTATTTAGAAAAATCATCCCCAGGAATGTGTGCACATTTCTCTGCAGCTCTGCAAGCATTGGTTTTTATCCTTTTTATTTGTTTTGGCTAGTTTAATGGAGAAGGGCATGGTAGTTTTAAAGTTTCTGTTGCTTGAATTGCTGAAGCTGAGTGTTCCTCTGCGTGTGTGCTAGTTCTAGCTCCTGTCTTGCAAAGGTAGGAAATCTCCAGGGCACCTTAATTTTTCCCTTCACCTCCTCTTGTGGTGATGGTTCCACTTGAGCCCCTCTCGTGAGAGCAGGTTGAGAATCCCAGGGGGCTGGTATAGGGACATGCAAAGCTGAACTCTGCTGGGTCCAGAAGTTGCTCTGCCAGTCAACCAGCGAGAAAGTCTAAGAGTCCCTTGCACCCTCAGCATGTAACTGTGGGGAGAGAAAGAACCTCTTTAAAGTTTTCTTGAAAGTTTATTTCAAAATAATTTTTTAGAATTAGGCCAGGCACGGTGGCTCATGCCTGTAATTCCAGCACTTTAGGAGGCTGAGGCAACGGATCACTTGAGGTCAGGAGTCTGAGACCAGCCTGGCTAACGTGGCAAAACCCCGTCTCTACTAAAAATACAAAAAAAAATTTTAGCTGGGCGTGGTGGTGGGCACTTATAATCCCAGCTACTCAGGAGGCTGAAGCAGGAGAATCGCTTGAACCTGGGAGACAGAGGTTGCAGTGAGCCGAGATCATACCACTGCATTCCAGCCTAGGCAACAGAACGAGACTCTGTCTCAGGGGAAAAAAAAAATTATAGAAGTTACATAGAGGGATCAGGTGCAATGGCTCATGCCTATTATACTAACACCATGGGAGGCTGAGGCAGGAGGATCACTTGAACTCAGGAGTTTGAGACCAGCCTGGATAACATAGTGAGACCCCCCTTTCTACAAAAATTAGCTGGACTTGGTAGTGTGTGCCTATAGTCCCAGCTACTCGGGAGGTTGAGGTGGGAGGATCGCTTGAGTCCAGGATCTTGAGGCTGCAGTGAGCTCTGATCGCACCACTGCATTCTAGCCAGGGTGACAGAGTGAGACCCCAACTCCAAAACAAAACAAAACAACAACAACAAAAAAAAAAGGGTGTGCAGGGTTATTTATGGAAGCGCTGGGGTGGGAGGAGATTGGAAACAACCGTAAATGTCCATCACTAGTAGGATTAAACACATTCCTACAGGGGACTCATGTGCAGCCATGACAAGGCGTGCACTTCATACAGGACACACTGGCATAGAACCACCTCTGAGATACTGTGTTAGTCTTCTGTGGCTGCTGTAACAAATGGCCACAAGCTTGGCAGCTTAAGATAACACACATTTATTATGCTACAGTTCTGGAAGTCAAAAGTCCACAATCGGTCTCAGTGGGCTCGAGTCAAGGTATGGGCAGGGCTGTGTTGCTGCTGCAGGCTCTGGGGGAGAATCTGTTTGCTTGCCTTCCCAACTTCTAGAGGGGCCCACATGCCTTGGATTGAGGCCCCATCCTCCATCTTTAAAGCACTGAATCTTCAGATCTTTCTGACTCCAGCCTCTGCTTCTGTCCTCACAATCTCTTCTTTCTCCTGCCTCCACTTATCAAAGACCCCTCTGATGACATTGGGTCCACTAGGATAATCCAAAATCATTCCCTCCATCTTGAGAGCTGCAACTTAATCATGTCTGCAAAATCCTTTTTGCTATGTAAAGTAATATACAAGTTCAAGGATTAGGGTATGTGCATCTTTGAAGGGGAGCATTATTTTGCCTACCACACCCTGAAGGGAAATAAGGTTCACAGCAGTATGTGGGTTCACATTTGTTTACAAAAAAAATAAAATAAAAGGTTGGGGGAGAGTATCTACTCATGTGCTTGTGAGGGCATAGAATACTCCAGAAGGCGACGTAGGAAACTGGTCAGAGGGTCAGAGCGACCACTTCTGGGAAGGATAATGGGTAGAGGGGAGACTGACTTGTCATAGAATATCTTTTTGTATAATTTAAACTTTTTACTACATGCATAGATCACCTATGTTAAAAATAACGTTTTAAAGTAACACCTACTCATTGTAAAAGTTCACGCCTCCCAGAAGCAGAGAAGGAAAGCCCCACACCCAGATCACTCCCTTTTCTTCCAAAGATAACCACTGCGAAGAGTGATCCTTACGGACCAAAAAAAAGCATCTGTATTTCTTTTGACTTAGATGGGGTCATCCTGTAGACTCTGCCGTAATGTGACTCCTCTGTTTGCTCTGTGGCTGGCGTCTTTCCACGTCCATATGTGAATACTCAACAGCACTAGCAGCTCCTGCTGCTCAGAGGTGCATTCACTGATATAGCTGGTGGTGGGTGTTCAGAAGGTTTTACTGTTTTTCAGAGCAACCCCAACACTGTAATGTCTGTCTTTTTTCAATTGGAGTGAAATTCACATAATGTAAAGCTAACCATTTTAAAGTGAATAATTCAGTGGCATTTAAGTACATTTCACAGTGTGCGGCCTTCACCTCTATCAGAACATTTTCACTGTTTTTCTTTGTATTAAAATTAATAATATATCATTTTGCTTTTTAAAAAATACCTTGTTAGCTGCACAGAACATTTGCATCATCCCAAAAGGAAACCCCCTAATCCATTAAGCAGTCACTCCCCATCCTTCCCTGTCCCCAGCCCCTGGCAACCACCAATCTGCTTGTTCTGGACATTTCATATCCTGTTCCGGACATTTCATATCAATGGAATCATACAATATGTGACATTTTATGTCTGGCTTTTTTCACTTAGCATGGTATCTTTGAGGTTCATCTACATTGTAATAAGTATCAATACTTTATTTCTCTCTCTTTTTTTTTTTCCTTTTTTTTTTTTTTTTAGATAGAGTCTTGTTCTGTTGCCCAGGCTGGAGTGCAGTGGCACGATCTCGGCTTACTGCAACCTCTGCCTCCTGGGTTCAAGCGATTCTCCTGCCTCAGCCTCCGAAGTAGCTGGGATTACAGGTCCCCACCACCATGCCCAGCTAATTTTTGTATTTTTAGTAGAGACGGGTTTTCACCATGTTGGCCAGGCTGGTCTCAAACTCCTGACCTCAGGTGATCCACCCACCTTGGCCTCCCAAAAGTGCTGGGATTACAAGTGTGAGCCACCACACCTGGCCCCCTTCATTTCTTTTTATGGCCAAATAACGTTCCATTGTGTGGACAGACCCATTTTGTTGATCCATTCATCCATTGATGGACAAGCGGGTCGTTTCCACCTTTTGGCTTTTAAGAATAATGCTGTGAAAGCCTATGAACTTTCGTGTACAAATAAGTATTTGTTTGAGTCCCTGTTTCAGTTCATTTGGCTCTATATCCAGGATGTATGCCCTCCTACATATACTTTGTACTTTACACTAATTTCGGGCACAGTTAAAACTAAACTAACTTAAAACTAATTTGTAAGAAAGGATTACAGAGCACATACCAAGGCAGATGGCAGCAAGATGATAGATCTGGACAAATGTCTTTTTATTTTTCAGATCCAGAGGCAACAGGGACATGGCCACCTGGGACGAAAAGGTAATGGATTCTGTGGTCTTGCAGCATTAGAGGATATCCCAGCCTTGAGAGGATAATTCTGTTTGGTGTTTCAAACAGGAGAGGGAGAACTCCCTGTTCAGGTGTTTCCACTATACTGAAATATTTAAAATCAAAATGATGAAAAGCTGTAAAAGGACTTCACAAAACCTCCAAGTAGCCTGATATTCCACATCAGACCATTTGAATCCCAGCCCTGTATGTTAATAACTATGTGCGGTTTTTTTTGTTTTTTTTTTTTTGAGATGGAGTTTCACTCTTGTTTCCCAGGCTGGAGTGCAATGGTGCAATCTCAGCTCACCAGAACTTCTGCCCCCCAGGGTTCAAGCGATTTTCCTGCCTCAGCCTCCCAAGTAGCTGGGATTACAGGCATGCACCACCACACCTGGCTAACTTTGTATTTTTAGTAGAGATGGGGTTTCTGCATGTGGGTCAGGCTGGTCTCGAACAGTGCATGTTAATAACTATGTGTCCTTAGGCACAAAATAACTGTGTGCCCTTCAATTCCCTGAGCCTCAGTTTCCTTATCTGGAAAATAGTGAAAAGATTATTTACCACCCCTGCCCTTGCAGGATTGTCGGGAAGATTTGATAATACAGTGGTCTCAGAATGTTAGGCAAGTACTGAGCCCATACAGGGCTTGGGCACAGAGAAGTAAAGTCACTTCTGAAGATCACACAGCTAGAAAGTGGCAGAAATGGGATTTTAGGCCAGGTGTGGTGGCTCATGCCTGTAATCCCAGCACTTTGGGAGGCCAAGGTGGGCAAGTCACTTGAGGTCAGGAGTTCAAGATGAGCCTGGTCAACATGGCAAAACCCTATCTCTACAAAAATACAAAAATTAGCCAGGCGTGGTGACATGCGCCTGTAATCCCAGCTACTAGGGAGGCTGAGGCAGGAGAATTGCTTGAACTTAGGAGGCAAAGGCACGGTGGCTCACGCCTGTAATTCCAGCATTTTGGGAGGCCGAGGCAGGTGGATCACCTGAAGTCAGGAGTTTGAGACCAGCCTGGCCAACATGGTGAAACCCCATCTCTACTAATAGTACAAAAATTAGCCAGGCATCCTGACACACACCTCTAATCCCAGCTGCTTAGGAGGATAAGGCAGGAGAATCGCTTGAACTTGGGAGGCAGAGGTTGCAGTGAGCCAAGATCGCACCATTGCACTCCATCCTGGGTGACAAGAGCAAAACTCCGTCTCCAAAAAAAAACAGAAATTGGGATTTCAACCTGGCCTGACTCCAGAGGAAATGCTTTCCTCCTGTACCTTATGGCCATCTCGAGTAGGAAATAGACTGTGTCTTTGATATGTGAGGTGCAGGTTTGTTGGATTTGGGGGGCATTGGTTGTGAAGATTGGGGGCAAGGTAGAAAGGAAGTGTTGACTTTCACATCAGCTGTTCATCTTGAGGTTCTGGGGGCCTAGCCAGGCCAAGCTGGCGAGGGCAGAGCAGGAAGCTCAGGGCAGCAGCAGGGGTGAGTGGGGCAGAGTCTGAGAAGCAAATGTGAGGGTCAGAATGACCACGGGATGATGATGATGATGATGGTGATTGTGTATTTCATCAAATTGATGACCCTGGTAACTGTAAGAGTTAGGAGCCCCAGGAGCTCCAGGTATCCTTCATAAGAGAGTCAGCATGGAAGAAAGGTTAAGTGGGAACTGTTCATGCTTTTCCTTCATTTGTAGTTCCCTATTAAATTAGGCAAACCAAAAAGAACATTCGGAAATGCTTAATGCTGATTAGACTGTGATGAAACCAGCTCACTCATACATATCACGGGGGACTGGGTCAACCCATGCCACTGTTCTAGACACAAAATTTGACCATGTGTATCAAGAATCTTGAAAATATCCATATTCAAGCCTGGTCATCTCACTTATGGGAAAAGAACCCATAAAAAAGAAAAAGTACAATTTATGGCACCATGTTTCTTAGCACATGAGACAACACTATGCGTGCACCTTATTTTATGTACTATGAAGAAAAAAAGCAAAACCATGTGCTGCCATTTACTGTGATAAAAAGTAACACAGGCTGAAACCGATCAATTGTCAGGCCCAGCCAGATTTCAGAGACATTAAAATGTGAGAAAACGTGGTCTTAGAATTGGATTAAAAACCATCCAAAATGGTTTAAAAACATGCAAAATGCAATAATGAGATCATTTGACTCCTTGGTAAGTTTCCTGGCCTCTGAACAGGTGCGAATCTGACGCATATAGTGGTAAAAAATAAGATAGAAAATTGTCTGCTGCCTTTTTTTGTTTTGTTTTTTTGAGACAGGGCCTGGTTCTGTCTTCCAGGCTAGAGTGCAGTGGTGCAATCTCGGCTCACTTCAACCTCCGTCTCCTGGGTTCAAATGGTTCTTGGGCCTCAGCCACCCTAGTAACTGGAATTACAGGTGTGCGCCACCATCTCCAGCTAGTTTTTTTTGTTTTGTTTTGTAGTTTTGGTAGAGACAGGGTTTCTCCATATTGGCCAGGCTGGTCTCGAACTCCTGGCCTCAAGTGATCCACCTGCCTCAGCCTCCCAAAGTGCTAGAATTACAGGCATGAGCCACCGCACCTGGCCCACTGTCTTTGATTATAATTGTAAAAGATAAAGACAGGTGGGAGAGAAAGAGGTAGATGGGTAGATGATACATAAGTTTGGTGTGCAGGGATTGTTATGAATTTATTTCCCTTTCTTTTGTTCCTTTTTTCACAATAGTAATAAATAGATCAAGGCTATAGGTCTGTTCATGGGGTAAATGGCAGCAGGTCAAGCTGGGGGTATGCATTTGAGTCTGGGGGTTCCAAATGAGGCTGGGGGTTGAAGGAATGAGTTGGTGGCTGAGGACCTTGTCAGAAGCCCATACCAGGGCACAGAGACAGCAAGGGAAGTAGGGATTGCAATGCACAACCAGGGACACACCTTGGGGAACTCCCAGGGCCTGGAACCTGGAGCCTGGAGCCTGTTTGTCATCACACAGAAGCTAGCCTGAGAGGGTGTTGTCAGGAGGACATTGCTGGGGGGCTGGGGAAAGAGCCAGGACCGCTTGTGGCAAATAAGCCTCTTACTGGTTTGAAGAACATGTTCCTTTTCATGATCTGCCCTTATGGAATTAATTGTGTTTTGGAAAAAAGTTGTCTTAATGAGATTGCTTTTAGAGCTTTTTGAGTGTCAGCTCTCCTCGTTTCTGAGAGGAAAACAGCTGTGTTAGGAGAGAAACTGGTGGGGTTTTGTAGCCATGGTGCAGACCTGGCTTGCAGTTCTGCTGAGATAGCCTCATCGGCCCTCCTCAGAGCCCCTCTCTGCCCCCTGCCACCTCCCAAAGCTTCAGTTTTCCTCTTTTTTTTTTTTTTTTGAGACGGAGTCTCGCTCTGTCGCCCAGGCCGGACTGCGGACTGCAGTGGCGCAATCTCGGCTCACTGCAAGCTCCGCTTCCCGGGTTCACGCCATTCTCCTGCCTCAGCCTCCCGAGTAGCTGGGACTACAGGCGCCCGCCACCGCGCCCAGCTAATTTTTTGTATTTTTAGTAGAGATGGGGTTTCACCTTGTTAGCCAGGATGGTCTCGATCTCCTGACCTCATGATCCACCCGCCTCGGCCTCCCAAAGTGCTGGGATTACAGGCGTGAGCCACCGCGCCCGGCCCAGTTTTCCTCTTTTGTAAAATGGGAACGATCACACTACCTCACAGAGTTGAGGTGAGGGTTAAACAAGATTGCGTGCGGAAAACACTTAGCCGGGTGCCTGGCTCGAGCCTGCATTTAAGACATGGGAGCTGCTGGCTCTGTCATGAGGATGAACTGGCTTTTCAGCCCTCAGCTGACCTTGTTCCTTGGCACAGGTGACTGCACTCAGCAGCCACCTCTGGGGAACTTAAGAGCCAGGTGTGTGTGGAAATCCCTGCAGCTCCTGGGCTTATTTCGCATGAGGCATGCAGAGGCCCTTGGTGCAACTGGGGTTCCTTACCCACCTCGGCTGCACATCCACCACCGCAGCACCCAGACCACACCCAGATGGGTTGAATTGGAAGCTCTGAGCCCAGGACTCAGGTTTTGGGGTGCCTTAAAGCTGCCAGGTGATTCCAACATGCAGCCTGGCCTAGGCAGCCCCTCCCTCTACAGAAGGAGGAAAGAGGGATAGCTGAGCTCTGTGTCCTGTGGTTTCCATGGCCAAAGCATCAGTAGATGTTGGCTCAGGTGACCTAGTCACACAGGTGGCAGCTCTTCATTTCTACCTGGGTAACTTTTTCTTTTTTCTTTCTACACTTTTGTAAAACAAATAGCACAGCCCCTGCTCCTGGTTGACATGACTGAAGTCACAGGCTTGGACCAGACTCCCCTCTCAGTCATTCCCAGGGAAATAGGCAAAGCGTGTCCCCCCAAAACTGTGTCTTTAAACTCAACGCATTGGTGAGTCCTGAAATCCATTGAGTGGGCTACAGTCGACCTTTTAAGAAATGAAATAGGGCTAGGTGCAGTGGCTCACACCTGTAATCCCAGCACTTTGGGAGGCCAAGGCAGGCGGATCACTTGAGGTCAGGAGTTTGAGACCAGCCTGAGTAACATGGAGAAACCCCATCTCTATTAAAAATACAAAAAATTAGCCAGGCGTGGTGGTGCATACCTGTAGTCTCAGCTACTTCCTGGGCTGAGGTGGGAGGATCTCTTGAGCCCAGGACGTTGAGGCTGCAGTGAGTCCTAATCATGCCACTGCCCTCCAGCCTAGGTGGCAGAGTGAGACCCTGTCTCAAAAAAAAAAAAAAAAAAAAAAAAAAAAAGAAATAGAATGAAATGGAAAATAAGAGCGCCTCACATAGTAACTTCAGTGCTAGTTATGGAATGTGTGTACACAAGTCAGTGTGTACTGAGATGCAGGGTATGAAATGTGATTTCTTATTGAGAAACACCGCTCCAAACTCCCTTCCCAGCATGGGGCTTCCCCAGCTGTGAGGAGGGTGCAGGGCTGGGCAGTGTTCATGAGGGGTCCCGCAGGAGGAGGGGGAGCTGGGCTTGGCAGCCTGGGTTGGAATCCTAGCCTTGCTTCTCGCTGGCTGTGTGACCTGGGGCAAGTCACTGGCCTCTCTGTTCTCAGTTTCCTCATCCATAAACAGAGACATTGCAGTCCCCGCCTCATGGGCTTGTTACAGTATGTTAATGAAGGTCTTTGCACAGAGCTCAGAAAATATTAAATAGCAGGTATTCTGGGGATAGTTGGAATGATTACAGTTCCTACTCCTGTAAATATGTCCCATATAGTCTGTATGCAGCCCTGCCATCATCTCACCAGGCTGACCGGCTCATCTATCAGGCAGGAGGGTTCCTAACCCTATAGAAAAGGAGACAGTTGGGGAGCATGGCTTTAGGGGAACCTGGGCTGCCAGTTAAGCCCCTCAGCCTGTAAGCAGCTCCTCCTGCCAGAGCTGATCAGCTGTCACGGTGGTTGTTTTCATGAACCTCAGACTTCCTCCCCACCCTAGAGAAGGAAAAGTTTCTACACTTATTTAAAGACTTCCCTGATTTTAAAAATAGGCCTTCCTCAGAACACGGATCCCCTGGGGCAGGAAGGGAGAAGTGCTGGGGGCAGCTGAGCCTGCTGCTTGGAGTCCTCTTGCCTCCCCACAGAGAAGAGATTTGCTCAGGGGTTTCATTCCACCTTCCACCATCCAGGAGGTATGTTTAGCAGGAGCCTGTGGTCTGCCAGGCACAGAGGTCATGCTGTGAACAGCTGGGCCACATGAGAGTGTGATGGGGAAGGCCTGGCCAGCTCCTGAGAGCTGAGATGAAGAAGAAGATAGAGGACAGGGTGAAAGGGGGTTGCACATTCTACGCAAAAGAAGTCACGTGTGCAAAGGTCCTGTGGTTGGAGAAACCAGCCAAGTATGAAAGGCTCAATGTGGCCAGAGTGGGGACAGAGGTGAGAGGGAAGGTGAGAAGATGGGCAGACAGAGGCTAGATAGAGCGTGCAAAACAGGAGTGGGCTTCTGGGAGGCATTGATGTCTTTTTTTTTTTTAACAGACAAGGTCTTGCTGTATCACCCAGGCTGGAGTGCAGTGACACGATCACAGCTTACTGCAGCCTCAACATTCTGGGCTCAAGCGATCCGCCTCTCTCAGTCTCCCAAGTAACTGGGACTAGAGGCGAGCACCACTACACCTGGTTAATTTTTAGATTTTTTTGTAGAGACGGAGTCTCACTCTGTTGCCCAGGCTGGTCTTGAACTCCTGAACTCAGTGATCCCCCTCAGCCTCCCAAAGTGCTGGGATTACAGGTGTGAGTGACTGCACCCAGCCAAAAGTTTTAAATAAGGGAGTGTGTCAGGGTTCCCGAGACCCTATGCCCAGTGTCAGTGACTCACTAGGAGGACCTGTGGGACTCGCATGCAGATGTGCTCCTGGCTCAGATTAATTGCCACAAAAGGATTGAAATTAAAATCAGTAAAGGGAAAAGGCACGTGGGGTGAAGTTCAGAAAAAACCTGGCACAAGCTTCCAGAGCCCTCTCCTGGGTTGGGGGCAGAGGTCCTTGGGGTCACACTTATTTCCTCCAGCAGGGAGTTGTGACAAGATGTGTGAAGTGTTTGCAAGCAGAGCAGTTCCTTAGAGACCCAATGCCCAGAGTTTTCATTGGAGCTGGGCACAGAGGTACCCTCTGCCTGGCACTTAGAAAAATTCCATACTCTCCAAATGAAAGTAGGAGTTCAGCATAAACCATGCTGTTTCCACAAGCAGTCTAGGCACAATGAGCTGCTCTTATCAGGGAATGGCGGGAATTTTCCAGAAGTCCAAATTCCCAGATGCCAGTGGAGGCCAGGCAGGCCTGTCTGAGGAAGGCAGCCTCGGGACCGCTGGGCTGGCCCTTTTCTGCACAGGGAGTGATGTAGTCATGCTTGGAGGGATGCTCTCCTGCAGCTGATGGAGAATGCAGCAGGGAAGGAGAGAGCAGAGAGGAGCTGCGACAGCCTCCAAGTGAGGCAGGGGGTTGGCCAGGGCAGTGGCAGAGGGTGGGGGAAGTAGGTGGCAGATCAGGGGTCATTTAGTTGCTGAAATGCACCAGGCTTAATGCTGGACAGGGCTATAGGGGAGGATGAGTGAAGCTAGGACTGGGGACAGCCGCTCTGGCCCTGCCTGGGTGGTGTTAAGACCCTGGACCAGGAAGCAGCACACCCAGCTGCAAGTCTGTGGACTGTCCACTGACAGGTGGTGGTTACCATGTTGCAGTCTTCAGTTTGCTCCTCTGCTAAGGGAGGTAAGACTGCATCTCAGAACCTTGATCCCATCTCTTATTTATTTATTTTATTATTATTATTATTGAGACAGAATCTTGTTCTGTTGTCCTGGCTGGAGTGCAATGGCATTATCTCGGCTCACTGCAACCTCTGCCTCCTAGGTTCAAGTGATTCTCATGCCTCAGCCTCCCAAGTAGCTGGGATTATAGGCATGCACCACCACCACCCCCAGCTAATTTTTGTATTTTTAGTAGAGATAGAGTTTCACCATGTTGGCCAGGCTGGTCTTGAACTCCTGGGCTCAAGCAATCCACCCACCTCAGCCTCTCAAAGTGCTGGGATTACAGGCATGAGCCACCACTCCCAGTCCCATCTCTAAAATGTCATTTTTGTTGCTGAAAAAAAAATCTACTTTTCTGCCATTTTTTTCTCTGTATTGGCAGAGAAAAGAACAAAGCTAGCGGACTTGAGTTCCTGTGCTGGCTTTATCACTTACTTATGATTTTATTTTATTTTTGGTTTTCTGTTTCTTTTGAGATGGAGTCTTGCCCTGTCACCCAGGTCGGAGTGCAGTGGCACGATCTTGGCTCACTGCAACCTCCGCCTCCCAGGTTCAAGCAATTCCCCTGCCTCAGCCTCCCAAGTAGTTGGGACTACAGGCATGCGCCACCACGCCTGGCTAATTTTTGTATTTTTAGTAGAGACGGGGTTTCCCCACGTTGGTGAGGCTGGTCTTGAACTCCTGACCTCAGGTGATCCACCAGCCTTGGCCTCCCAAAGCGCTGGGATTACAGGTATGAGCCACCGCACCCAGCTTTATGTTTGTTTTTTAACAACGCTACATGAACATATGTATAGCATAATAAATTAAAACAGCAAACAGGTATATATTAGGTTGAATCATATGAAATTATCAATTTCTTCTAGTTTTTATCTACAAAGATGGCACTTTTAAGTCCTCTTTTATATCAGAAAAGTTTTCTTGAATTATATCTTTGTTCTAGTCTATTAATCTCATTTTCTTATTCAGGGATTCCAGTTATGAATATATTGGTTCCTTCTCTTCCCACCTCCACTAAATACTTCATTCACCACTTAACTCCCTGCAGGCTGGATCTCAGTCCAAAAATGGCAATTTCTTAGGGATAAACCTTGTATTTGTTTTCATGCTGCTGATAAAGACATACCTGAGACAGGGAAGAAAAAGAGGTTTAATTGGACTTATAGTTCCATATGGCTGGCGAGGCCTCAGAATCATGGCAGGAGACGAAAAGCACTTACATGGTGGCAGCAAGAGGTGATGAGAGAGAAGCAAAAGCAGAAACCCCGATAAACCCATCAGATCTTGTGAGACTTATTTGCTATCATGAGAATAGCATGAGAAAGATTGGCCCCCATGATTCAATTACCTCCCCCTGGGTCCCTCCCACAACACATGGGAATTCTGGAAGATATAATTCAAGTTAAGATTTGGGTGGAGACACAGCCAAACTACATCATTCTGCCCCTGACCCCTCCAAATCTCATATCCTCACATTTTAAAACCAATCATGCCTTCCCAACAGTCCCCCAAAGTCTTACTTCATCATTAGCCCAAAAGTCCACAGTCCAAAGTCTCATCTGAGACAAACCAAGTCCCTTTTGCCTATGAGCCTGTAAAAATCAAAACAAGCTAGTTACTTCCCTACATGCAGGGGGGTTACAGGTATTGGGTAAATACAGCTGTTCCTAATGGGAGAAATTAACCAAAACAAAATAGTTACAGGGTCCCTGCAAGTCTGAAATCCAGTGGGGCAGTCAAATTCTAAGGCTTCAAAATGATCTCCTTTGACTCCATGTCTCACATCCAGGTCAGGCTGATGCAAGAGGTAGGTTCCCATAGTCTTGGGCAGCCCCGCCCCTGTGGCTTTGCAGGGTATAACCCACCTCCTGGCTGCTTTCATGAGCTGACATTAAGTGTCTGTGGCTTTTCCAGGTATATGGTGCAAGCTATTGGTGGATCTACCATTCTGGGGTCTGGAGGACTGTGGCCCTCTTCTCACAGCTCTACTAGGTGATACCCCAGAAGGGACTCAGTGTGGGTGCTCCCACCCCACATTTCCCTTCTGCACTGCCCTAGCAGAGGTTCTCCATGAGGGCCCCACCCCTGAAGCAAACTTTTGGCTGGGCATTCAGGCATTTCCAAACATCTGAAATCTAGGCAGAGGTTCCCAAACCTCAATTCTTGACTTCTGTGCACCTGCAGGCTCAACACCACGTGGAAGCTGCCAAAGCTTGGGGCTTCCACCCTCTGAAGCCACAGCCTGAGCTGTATGTTGGCCCCTTTCAGCCACAGCTGGAGCAGCTGGACACAGGGCACCAAGTCCCTAGGCCCATGAAACCACTTTTTCCTCCTGGGCCTCTGGGTCTGTGATGGGAGGGGCTGCTGTGAAGGTCTCTGACATGGCCTGGAGACATTTTCCCAAGGTCTTGGGGATTAACATTAGGCTCCTTGCTATTTATGGAAATTTCTGTAGCTGGCTTGAATTTCTCCCCAGAAAATGGGTTTTTCTTTTCTATCACATCATCAGGCTGCAAATTTTCCAAACTTTTATGCCTTACTTCCCTTATACAACTGAATGCCTTTAACAGCAGGCATTGAATGCTTTGCTGCTTAGAAATTTCTTCTGCCAGATACCCTAAATCATCTTTCTCAAGTTCAAAGCTCCACAAATCTCTATGGCAGGGGCAAAATGCTGCCAGCTCTTTGCTAAAACATGCCAAAAGTCACCTTTACTCCAGTTGCCAAAAAGTTCCTCATCTCCATCTGAGACCACCTCAGCCTGGACCTTATTGTCCAGATCACTATCAGCATTCTGGGCAAAGTCATTCAACAAGTTCTAGGAAGTTCCACGCTTTCCCACACTTCCCTGTCTTCTTCTGAGCCCTCCAAACTATTCCAGACTCTGCCTGATACCCAGTTCCAAAGTTGGTTCCACATTTTCAGGTATCTTTTCAGCAATGTCCCACTCTACTGGTACCAATTTACTGTATTAGTTTTCACACTGCTGATAAAGACGCACCTGAGACTGGGAAGAAAAAGAGGTTTAATTGGACTTACAATTCCACATGGCTGGGGAGGCCTCAGAATTATGGCAGGAGGCGAAAGGCACTTCTTATGTGGCGGCAGCAAGAGAAAATTAGAAGCAAAAGCAGAAACCCCTGATAAACCCATCAGATCTTGTGAGACTTGTTCACTATCATGAGAATCACATGGGAAAGATTGGCCCCCATGTTTCAGTTACCTCCCCCGGGTGCCTCCAGCAACACATGAGAATTCTGGGAGGTAATTCAAGTTGAGATTTGGGTGGGGACACAGCCAAACCAAATCATATCTAATAGGTTTGGTATCAGCCAAACCTATTAGAAAAAAAAATGCAAAGTTTCACTCACCAACCCAGTCCCTCTCTCCTCCTGGGAGTTGGGGTTGATTTTGTCAGTTTTCCCATAATCGTAGATTGAGGACCCCTTTCCCTGTGGGTGTGTGAGGTCTACAGGCCTGCCACACAGTGGTGTGGTGCTCTGTGGTGTGGGTCTTCCATGGTGTCCTGGGCAACAGACTTTGAGGTGGTTTCCGGTTTAGGGCTCTTGAAGCAGGACTGGAGCAAGCACCTGTGTGCACGTGGGAGTCTCTTGTAAAGTCAAGCAATAAGGACATTTTAAATGTTGATAGAAACCAAGGTAGCCATGGTGGCACACACCTGTAGTCCTAGCTACTTGGGAGGCTGAGGCGGGAGGATTGCTTGAGCCCAGGAGTTTGCGGCTGCACTCCAGCCTGAACAACAAAATGAGATCCCATCTCAATAAAAAGGAAATAAAATTTTGATATAAATTGGTTTAGGGCCAATCCCCTCCTTTGTCCCCAAGCCTGGCACATCAGAGAGACTCAAATATTTTTTCAAAAGATGAAAGGAACTGCCCTGTTACCCTCCTAGGAAGAATACACCCATTTACATGCCCAACAGCTGGCATACAGGAGTGCCCACTTCCCTCTGCCTCTGTCACCCTGCCAAAATGTGCGGCACGGTGTGACTTCAGGCAAGTGGTCTCGCCTCCCCAGGCCTCAGTTTGCCCTTGTGCAAAATGGAGAGACTTCACCTACCCTTCCTGCCTACTTCTTAGGAGCATTAAAAGTATCAAGCGACAGCAGGTGATGTGACCGGTGGGCTCTGAGCAAAAGGAGCCGCTGTCGCTGTTGTTGGCTGCAGAATCGGGCTTTCTCCAAGTGGTTTTGGGCCCTGAAGAAGTCGGCTTTCTCCTTGGAGTCCAGGACAAATGTGTGGCCCGGAAAGATAAAGGGAAAGACAGTACCTGGCCTACAGACCATCCTGGCTAACTCAGGCACACACCCTCTGTCCTGGTTGCCTGTGGCTGCTGTGACAAACTACTACAAACTGGGGGGCTTCAACAACAGGAACTCATTCTCACCAGTTCCAGAAACCAGAAGCCCAAAATCAAGGTGTTGGCAGGACTGGCTCCTGGACGCTTTGGGATGGGGAGATGTGTCCCAGGCCTCTTCCATCCCAGCCTCTGGTGTTGTCTGCAGTCTTTGGCTTGTGGACGTATCATTCTGACCTCTGTGACCTTCACGTGACCTTACCCTCTGTGTGTCCTTTTCTCTTTTTTTGTTTTTGAGACCGAGTCTCATTCAGTCTCCCAGGCTGGAGTGCAATGGCATGATCTCGGCTCACTGCAGCCTCTCGAGTTCAAGCGATTCTCCTGCTTCAGCCTCCGGAGTAGCTAGGATTACAGGCACCCACCACCACGCCCGGCTAATTTTTGTATTTTTAGTAGAGACAGGTTTTCAATGTGTTGGGCAGGCTGGTCTTGAACTCCTGACCTCAGGCGATCTGTCCACCCTGGCCTCTCAAAGTGCTGGGATTACAGGCATGAGCCACTGCACCTGGTCAATTTTTATATTTTTAGTAGAGACGGGGTTTTGCCATGTTGGCCATGCTAGTCTTGAACTCTTGACCTCAAGTGATCCACCCACCTCAGCCTCCCAAAGTGCTGGGATTACAGGCGTGAGCTACCGCGCCTGGCCCCTTTTCTCTTTTTGTAAGGACACCAATCACCAGATTTAGGGCCCACCCTAAATCCAGTATGATTTCATCTTATCATCTTTAGTTACATCTGCAAAGACCTACATTCCAAATAAGGTCACATTCTAAGGGTCCAGGGGGACAGGAATTGTTAGGGGGGTGTGCACAATTCCACCTACTCCACCCTCTGAGCAGGTGGCTCTCCGGTCACTGGCTGCCTGGCTTTCTGTCAGCTGTGTTTTCTAGAACATAGTCTCCAAGTCATGGAGCCCAGGGGCAGATCCTGCTTTTCCAGTTCCCCACAGTGTGTGACCTTGGACAAGGCCCCCCCTCACCAGGACCCTAAAGGATGGCCTCAACCTCAGGGTTGTTAGGAATTGAAATGAAATAGTGCATGGAAGGAAGTTAGCAGCATGCTGAGATGATATGAGGTGTGATAAAATAAGCAACCATAGTAATACACGTTGCTGCCATTGTGTCTTAGAGTTTTGGGGTGAGGGTGGTTAATATGCAAATCAAGTCCCCCAAAATAGCTCTGGGAGGGAACAGGGAAATGCAAACTGAAGGGACATCAGGCCATGGGAGTTGGGAGTTGGCTGACTTTCTTAAAAAGTACCTTTTTCTCCGATTGTCAGATAACAATGAACTAGGGACTTTCCCCCTCCCACAGATGGCGGCTTCTGAGCCTGTAAAAATAGGCATCCACAAAATGCTTTTCTCTCCTTCGCTTCTAGGTCTGTCTTTTTCACTTTCCCCTTCTCTCCCAGATGGTAGTTTTTCTGGTCTAATACCTGTAAAAGAGGTCAGCAATATGTTTACCTTGAAGGAGTAGTGCCTAAGATTTTGTTAATCCATTCATTTATTAACCATTTCTTTTTTCTTTTTTTTGAGATGGAGTCTCGCTCTGTCACCCAGGCTGGAGTGCAGGGGCGCAATCTTGGCTCACTGCAGCCTCAGCCTCCCAGGTAGCTGGGATTACAGGCATGTGCCACCATGCCTGGCTAATTTTTGTATTTTTAGTAGAGATGGGGTTTCACCCTGTTGGTCAGGCTGGTCTCGAGCTCCTGACATCAGGTGATCTGCCCGTCTCGGCCTCCCAAAGTGCTAGGATTACAGGCTTGAGCCACCGCGCCCGGCCTCTTAACCACTTCTTGAGCCTCTCCCTGTGACTGAGGAAGAGTCTCTGCCCTCCCAGCGTTCACAGCCCAATGTGGTGGGGACAGTGTCTCAGTGGTTGTTAAGACAGTGTGACGTACACCCCAACTGGGGTGAGGGAGAATTAAAGAAGGCCTCCCAGGGAAGGTAAAATCTAGGTGTAAGACCTGGAAGATAGATGGGATGGGGACAGGCCATGCGGAGTCCTGGAAGCAAGAGAGCGTGGTCCGCTCTAGAACTGCAAGTTCCATGTGGCTGGAGGCTGGCAGAGGCAGGGTGCTAGGAAGGAATAAGGCTGGCAGGGAGACCAGGGCCTGGGGAAGCCAAGAGAGCTGGGACTCGATCCTGAAGGCAGTTGTGGGCATGGAGGTCGCTGCACAGCAGGGACACAGTCAGGTTGGCATTGGAGAAGGAGGACCCTGGCTGCAGGCAGGTGGAGGGAGGGTCAGGGCAGGTTCTGGTGAGGGAGAGGGGACGATGGAGTGCCAGCCAGGTTCAGGAAGTGAAACCGATGGGGTGTGAGGGAGAAGGAGGAGCCAAGGACGATTTTCTGTTCTTGGCCTGGGCAGCCAGGTAAGTGACAGCGTGCCCTAGGGGATGTGGAAGGAGGAGTGGACTGGGAGAGAAAGGTAAGAAATCAGGTCAGTTGGGTCACAGCAAACCAATGACCCAGCAGGATCTTGAACATCAGACTGGAGTCTTTGATTTGAACGTGAACGGCACCGAGAACACAGCTGTGCTAAGGCCCCCAAAGAGAGAGTCACCGGCCCAAGGACAGGGTCAAGGCTGAGGTCTCCAGGACTCCTGGTATGGGGCAGGGACATGGTACAGGAAGCTGAGGAGGGTGGCCAGAGATAGCAGGAGAAGCAGGGGGCGAGATTGCCAAGCACAGCAGATTCAACAGCGTCAAAGAGTGTGGGACCGTCAGGCAGGTTGGAGCCACGGTCACAGGTTTTGATATGGAAAGGTGACCGCAGAGGAGCATCAGGGTACAGTGGGGACAGCAAGGATTCTTGCATGGGAGATGGAGCTGTGGGGGTGTCCCGCATCAGCAACTCCACCTGTAGACTTTTGGGGTTATAAGTGACAGAAACACAGCTCAGTGTCACTTAAGCCACAAAGCGGCTGTATCAGCTCATGTAACTTAACAGCCTGAGGGATGCAGAGGCAGGCAGTGGGCAGAGAAATGAAATATCCAAGGATGGTGATGAAGCTGGAGGAGAAGAGTTTTGGGGTTTTTTGTTTTGTTTTCTTGAGACAGTCTCACTCTGTCACCCAGGCTGGAGTGCAGTGGCATGATCTTGGCTCACTGCAACCTCTGCCTCCTAGGTTCAAGCAATTTTCATGCCTCAGCCTCCCAAGTAGCTGGGATTACAAGTGCCCACCACCACGCCTGGCTATTTTTTTGTTTGTTTTTAATAGAGATGGGGTTTCGCCATGTTGGTCAGGCTGGTCTCAAACTCTTGACCTGAAGTGATCTGCCCATCTTGGCCTCCCAAAGTGCTGGGATTGCAGATGTGAGTCACCATGCCCAGGTGAGTTTTTGTTGTTAAGGGATGATCATAGCTGGCACTTCCAGAGCTGGGGGCTGCTCTGAGCCAGGCACCGAGGCAGGTGCTCTGTACGCCACACTACTAAAATTACAAAAATTAGCCGGGCGTGGTGGCAGGATCAGTCTGTCCATGAATGCTAGGAGTCTGGAGTGCATGGTGAAGCTGCTGAGGCCCACCACATTCTCTTGATCAACCCTATCTTTGCCCTTTTCTGGAGCTTTTCTGCTTCTGGCATGACAGACTTTTGACTGAAAACCAGAAATGTTTTCTGCTCTGCTGAGTGCCCTAGATATTTTCATCCCAAATTACTAAAAGTTGCTTCTTCACCAGTTGCAAGGTTTCAGAAAGAAAAATTTCCTCTTCTGTAAAATATAAATGCGGTTTTTGCAAAGTACCTTGAGGTTCCCACACTACTGAGAAATAGGACAGGCTGCTCTTGTCTGCCAGGTAAGGTGTTTCCAAAGGAAAGTATGGGGTCAGGCATGGGCTCATGCCTGTAATCCCAGAACTTTGGGAGGCCGAGGCGGGTGGATCACTTGAGCCCAGGAGTTTGAGACCAGCCTGGGCAACATAGCAAAACCCTGCCTCTACAAAAAAATACAAAAAATTAGCTGAGCGTGATGGTATGTGCCTATAGTTCCAGCTACTCAGGAGGCTTTTGTGGGAGGATCGCTTGATCCCGGGAGGTCAAGGCTGCAGTGAACCGTGATCGCACACTACAGTCCAGCCTGGGTGACAGAGCGAGACCCTATCTCAAAAAAGGGAATTATGGCCAGGCACGGTGGCTCACGCGTGTAATCCCAGCACTTTGGGAGGCAGAGGCGGGCGGATCACCTGAGGTCAGGAGTTCGAGACCAGCTTGGCCAACATGGTGAAACCCTGTCTCTACTAAAATTACAAAACTTAGCCAGGTGTGTTGGCAGCGCCTGTAATCCAAGCTACTCGGGAGGCTGAGGCAGGAGAATCACTTGAACCCAGGAGGTGGAGGTTGCAGTGAGCCGAGATCATGCCACTGCACTCCAGCATGGGGAGCAAGAACAAGACTTTGTCTCAAAAAGAAAGGAATTATGGCCAGTGGCTGCCTGGAGAGCTTCAGTATACCCTGGCGCTGGCCCTGGCCAGCCCTGGGAGTCCAGAGATGTTTGGTCCGGCCGAGATGAGCCCAGCATGGGAGATGAGGTACCAGTGCCCTCAGCCAACAGGTGCATGATGGGCTTCTGCTCAAGGTCAGGTGTCATACAAGACTCAGGGGACACAGACCCTGCCTTCATGTGAGGTAAATGCTAGGAGGGATAAAAATATGTGGCTGCACATAACAGTTTCTAGTTAGAAACTAGGATGAGGGCTCTCGAAGGAAAAGTGGGAGGAGAGGTTATAAATGGGAGGGGAACTGATTTAGGTTTTAGGGGTGAGGGAGGGCCTCTTTGAGGAACTGACATTTTAGCTGACATTTCAAGCATAAGCAAGAGTAAGCGAAGCTCGGATTGGGGAGAAGAGTATTCCAGGTTGAGGGAACAGCCTGTGTGATGGCTCAGTGTGGAGCATCAGAGGGACAGAAGGGTGGCTGGAGTGTGGCGAGGAGGCTGTGGGGAAGGAGAGATGCCAGTTCCTGGAGGGCCATGCACTACAAGTACACATGTTAAACTAGTAGATATGGTCCCTGGGGCTCTGTTTATTTTTCCTTTCAGCTTTTTTTTCTCCCTGTGTTTCCAGTTGATGTTTTTTATTGCCCTGTCTTTAAGTTCATTGATCTTTTCTTTTCTTTTCTTTTCTTTTCTTTTTAGGCGGAGTCTCACTCTGTCGCCCAGGCTGGAGTGCAGTGGCACGATCTCGGCTCACTGCAACCTCCATCTCCTGGGTTCACGCCATTCTCCTGCCTCAGCCTCCTGAGTAGCTGGGACTACAGGCGCTGGCCACTATGCCTGGCTAATTTTTTTGTATTTTTTTTTAGTAGAGATGGGGTTTCACCATGTTAGCCAGGATGGTCTCAATCTCCTGACCTTGTGATCCGCCCGCCTCAGCCTCCCAAAGTGCTGGGATTACAGGCATGAGCCACTGTGCCCAGCCTCATTGATCTTTTCTTTGGTAATATGTTATCAGCTGTTAAGCCCATCCAGTGATTTTTCATTTCGTATATATACTTTTCAGTTCTAAAATATCCATCTGGATCTTTTTTTTTTTTTCCTTCTTTTTTTGTGAGATGGAGATTCACTCTTGTTGCCCAGGCTGGAGTGCAATGGTGCAATCTCGGCTTACCGCAACCTCCACCTCCCGGGTTCAAGTGATTCTCCTGCCTCAGCCTCCTGAGTAGCTGGGATTACAGGCATGTGCCACGATGCACAGTTAATTTTGTATTTTTAGTAGAGATGGGGTTTCTCCACATTGGTCAGGCTGGTCTTGAACTCCTGACCTCAGGTGATCTGCCCACCTCGACCTCCCAAAGTGATGGGATTACATGAGTGAGCCACCATGCCTAGCCAGCTGGATCTTTTTTGTAGATTCCATTTCTGTATTAAGATTTTTATTTGCTCCCTCATTAAGTTTATGTTTTCCTTGAAATCCTTGAATATATTTGTAATATCTGTTTTCAAGTCTTTCTTGGCCAGTTCTATTATCTCTGTACATTTTTAGTCTTTTTTTTTTTTTTGAGATGGAGTTTCACTCTTGTTGTCCAGGCTGGAGTGCAATGGCATGATCTCGGCTCACCACAACCTCTGCTTCCCAGGTTCGAGCAATTCTCTTGCCTCAGCCTCCCAAGTAGCTGGGATTACAGAATGTGCCACCACACCCAGCTAATTTTGTATTTTTAGTAGAGACGAGGTTTCTCCATGTTGGTCAGGCTGGTCTCAAACTCCTGACCTTAGGTGATCTGCCCACCTCGGCCTCCCAAAGTGCTGGGATTACAGGCATGAGCCACTGCACCCAACCATTTTGAATCTTCTATTAGCTGATTTTTTTATTAGTTGTGGGCCACATTTTTCAGCTTTATGTGTCTAGTAATTTTAATTGTATGCTAGACAGTATGCATCTATGATGTTGAGTTTATGTTGTTGTCTTCCTAATAAAGTATTGAGTTTTGTTCCAACAGGCAGTAAATTTACTTGGGGATCAGTTTGTTCATTTCAAGGCTTATTTTTAAGCTTTGTTGGGATGAGTGTAATGTGGCCCTTCCTATAAAGCTAGATTAGGTCTACTCATAAGGCATGATTTTTCTGGGATTTCTGTTGAATGCTTAGGGTGTTCAATGAGGTCTCTCTACTCTGGCTGTTGGGAACTCACATATCTCCCAACCCAGTCCTATGTAATTTCTGGTAGTTGTTCAGCTCACAGCACCCCAAGGAGTTTTTTTCCTGAAAGTTATATTTTTCCCTGCCTCATGAAATCTTGTTCCACACACACGATGTTTAGGACTCAGCCAAAGTCCATATTTTGGGGTCTCCTCCTCTGCATACCTTTCCTATTTCTGGTACATTGCCAAGCAGATTCACAAGGGGAGGGAGACTCAATAGCTTTGAACTATAGTCTTTGCCTTCACAGTCCAGAAAGTACCTCCAGGCACAAAGCCAGGGTGATTGTAGGGTTTGCCTCATTCATTTTTCTTCTCTAAGGGATCACAGTAAATTTCACATATTTTATCCAGTTTTATAATTGGTTATGGCAGGAGGGATAATCTGTTACTAGTTACTCTAGAGTGTAATAAGGCCAGAAGCAGAAATCTCATTCTTGTGTATGTTTACACTCATGCTTTTACACATT
The DNA here is from genome assembly GCF_000001405.40 of Homo sapiens. Classification (NCBI taxonomy): domain Eukaryota; kingdom Metazoa; phylum Chordata; class Mammalia; order Primates; family Hominidae; genus Homo; species Homo sapiens. The sequence goes on along the minus strand of NC_000012.12, from coordinate 110,664,447 downwards.
CCAAAACAATATATAATATTTTCCATATATTTAACATTTTTACTTAAGTGGTGTGACATTGTTCTTATTCTTCCATATCTTTCTTTTACAGTCAACATTTTTTAGGAGCTATCCACATTGCTAGATTCATTGTTGCTTAACAAACATTTCAGTATTTTTGAGTGTCTGTTAAGTGCAAGGCATTTTTCTAGGTGCTGGGTATACAGTTGTACTTAATACTTAAATGTAAGCCAGGCACAGTGGCATGTACCTGTAATCCCAGCTACTCGGGAAGCTGAGGCTGGAAGGTTGTTTTAGCCTAGGAGTTTAAGACCAGCCTGGGTAACATAGCAAGACCCCATCTCTAAAAAAATAATTGTTTTAATTAGCCAGACACGTTATAGTGTGCCACAGTCCAAACTACCCGGGAGGTTGAGGCAGGAGAATTGCTTGAGCACAGGAATTCAAGACTGTAGTGAGCTATGATCGCACCCCTGCATCTAGCCTGGGTGACAAGTGAGATCCTCTTTTTAAAAAAAAGAAAAGAAAATTAAATGTAAGGTCTTCCTCTAAGATATCCACTGGCCAAAAGAAACTAACAGGAAACAACCACTGAGATAGGAGGAAAACCAGGAGACTGTGGCATCCCAGAAGCCAATGAAGGAAGCATTTGAAGAAAGAAGTGATTGTTCTACTGTATTCAGTGCTGCCGAGTGGGTACACATGGGCATCACCAGTGACATACTGAGACGCAGTTAATTCATTTTAACTGCTGTATAGTGTCCCATTACATGAACAGAGAATATTCATTCCTCTATCTCCCACATGTAGATAAATTTTTTTTCTTTTTTATTCTTTTTTTTTTTTTTTTTTTTTTTTTTGAGACAGCGTCTCACTCTGTTGCCCAGGCTGGAGAACATGGCTTACTGCAGCCTCGACCTCCCAAGCTCAAGCACTCCTCCTGCCCCAGCCTCCCAAGTAGCTGGGACTACAGGTGTGCTACCATGCCTGGCTAATTTTTTTTATTTTTCTGCAGACAGGGTCTTGCCTTATTGCGCAGGCTGGTCTCAGCTCCTGGGCTCAAGCAATCCTCCCACCTCAGCCTCCCAAAGTGTGGGGATTACAGGTGTGAGCTGCCACACCTGCCCAACTAGGTGAATATTTGCAGTGAACATTTTTGAACATGTCACCAATTTGAGCACATGTGCCCAAGTTTCTCTTTGGACCCTATGTAGGGATAGAATCACTAAATCATTCAGAAAGATACACACCACTTCAACTTGACAAGATCATGCCAAATTTCTCCCCAAAATGATGGTGCTGGTGCCTGTTTCTGTCTTCAGTGTTCAAGAGACCCCATTGCTTCACGCCCTCACCGATATTTGATGTAGACTTTAAGACACTTGCCAACCTGAGGAGTGAAAAGATGTGCTATTGTTACTTCACTCTGCGTTTTTCTGAGTATTATTGGGGATAAGCATCTTGGCTATTTGAGTTTTCTCTTACATGACCTGCCTGTCAACGTCCACTGCCCAGTTTTCCATGGAGTTTTTCTTTCTCTTTTTGATTTATAAGATTTCTTTATATATTCTGGTTACTCTTTGTCTATCACATACATTGCAAATATTTATCCCAGTCTGTAGTATATCTTTTAACTTTGTAGGGTGTGTGTGGGGGGGCAGTGTGTCATAATAAAGCTTTTAGTTTTGATGCAGTCAAATCTATGCATTTTGTGTTTGTTTTTGTGTTGTTTGTTTGTGTTTTGAGACAAGGTCTCAACCTGTTGCCCAGGCTGGAGTGCAGTGGCATGATCTTGGCTCACTGCAACCCACGCCTCCCAGCTTCAAGCGATTCTGGGGCCTCAGCCTCCTGAGTAGCTGGGATTACAGGCATGCGCCACTATACCCAGCTAATTTTTGTATTTTTTGTAGAGATGGGGTCTTGCCATGTTGGCCAGGCTGGTCTCAAACTCCTGACCTCAGGCAATCTACTTGCCTTAGCCCATGGAATGAGTGCTGGGATTATAGGCATGAGCCACCATGCGCACCCTATTTTGTGGTGTTTTGTGTTATTTAAGCAATCTTTTCCTATCCTAAGCTCATGAAGTTACTGGCCTGTATTTTGTTCTAAGACTTTTTAAGTTGTTCCTTTTTAAATACACTTTACACATTCATGTAAGTGCATCTCAGATGTATTCTGTGTGGGGGGCAAGGTGGGGAATGGATTTTTTTTTCCTATTGACAAAGCCAGGTGTCCCAGCCTCTCCAGCCTTTCTTTCCCGTGAGTCTGGACGGCCACCCCATCTCCTTTAGGCTCCCTCAGGGACATTGGGCTCTCTCTTCCATTGGGCTCTCTCTTCCTGTTCCAGTAGTCATGTAGCCTGCTCTTGCACTCATACCTATACATTTCAATTATTTAACTTTATGTAAATTTGATACCTGGTAGGGCAAGTTGGGTAAAGTGGAGAGAGGGCACAGGGATATTTGCTTTTGCTTTAAACAACTGTCCGTGTGAATAGCACTGGCTGAACTTGGAAAATGTCCATCTGCCACGCGCCTGTCAGGATGTGTGGCGTGATGGGTGGGGATCTCGTGACTTTTCTATGAAACTCTGGGTACTTTTACTTTTGGCTTCTCCTCCCCACGCCCTGCCCACTGGCCCCTCCAGTTTCCAGGTTGTGATGTCTCTGAACCTTGGGGCCGCCCTTCCGGTATTCACACATGGGCCCGTGGCGGGTGTTTTGGGACCGGGCTGCAGTACTGATTCCGTTGGTTACTGCCAACCAGACCACAGTGACAGGCCTGCTGGGGGCAGGAGTTTCCTGTTGCCTCATAGACACTGAGACCCTGGATTCCAAAAATAAAAGCACGAGAAACCACCGTGACCTCATGGTCTCTGCTTGCAGGGGGTTCTACGCACCCGGGACCATCTTCACCTGCAGTGGCCTGGCCCGGCCTGGGCCATGTGGGCTCTGAGTGGCCAACTGCCTGAAGCTCTTGCTCTCTGTCCCCGCCTTCTAGGCAGTCACCCGCAGGGCCAAGGTGGCTCCCGCTGAGAGGATGAGCAAGTTCTTAAGGCACTTCACGGTCGTGGGAGACGACTACCATGCCTGGAACATCAACTACAAGAAATGGGAGAATGAAGAGGAGGAGGAGGAGGAGGAGCAGCCACCACCCACACCAGTCTCAGGCGAGGAAGGCAGAGCTGCAGCCCCTGACGTTGCCCCTGCCCCTGGCCCCGCACCCAGGGCCCCCCTTGACTTCAGGGGCATGTTGAGGAAACTGTTCAGCTCCCACAGGTTTCAGGTAGGTGGGGCAGGAGTCCGGGATACCCAGAGCTGGCAGGAGAGCCATCGGGGAATGTGAGGCAGGCGGCCAGGCTGAGCCCATTTGGCCACTGCCTCATTCATTCTACGAGTGTTTGCCCAGCACCTACCACGTGCCGGGGACCCTGTACCGTGCTGGGAATGCGGTAGGCAGATCTCAAGTTGTCAGGGAGAAAAGAGCCATGATCCAAAAGCAAAAGGTCCACCAATGGATGAGTGTTAAACCGAATGTGTTCTATCCATACAGTGGAATATGATTCCAACATCAAAAGCAAAGAAGTGCTGATCCATGCCACAATGTGGATGAACCTTGAAAACATGGTGCTGAGGGAAAGAAGCCAGACACAAAAGGCCAGAGTGTAGGATTCCATTGATACAAAACATCTAGAACAGGCAAATCCATAGAGACAGGAAGCAGATTGGCGGCTGCCACAGGTGGGAGTGTTTCCATTTGAGGAGATGAAAATGTTCTGGAATTATAGTGGTGATGGTTACACAACCTTGTGAATGGACTGAATGCCACTAAGTTTTACGCCAACTTTAAAATGGTAAATTTTACGTTATGCAAATTTTACCACACACAAAAAAAATAAATAAAGGGTAAATAACGGAGACAGAAAAAACACTCATCTGTTCACTCTGCGAACACTCAGTGCCAGAGGCTCCCCTGCCTCATGGAGACCCATCACGCTGGGGGCCTCAGTCTCTCTTGTGGAGTGATGCCCAAAATACCTGCCTGTCCTGGCCTTAGCCCACTGCTGATAGTCTCCAGGTGTGGTTGCAGGGAGAAAGCAGAGCTGGGGTGGTCCTCACAGACGAGCGAAGGGAACTGAACTTTCTGTGGAGTTCAAGCAATTCTCCTGCCTCAGCCTCCCGAGTAGCTGGGATTATAGGCGCCTGCCACCACGCCTGGCTAATTTTGCATTTTTAGTAGAGACAGGGTTTCACTATGTTGGTCAGGCTGGTCTTGAACTCCTGACCTCAGGTGATCCACCCACCTCAGCCTCCCAAAGTGCTGGGATTACAGGTATTAGCCACCGTGCCCGGCCAACTGTCCTGCCATTGATTGATTGATTGATTGGAGACAGAGTCTTGCTCTGTCACCCAGGCTGGAGTGCAGTGGCATGATTTCAGCTCACTGCAACCTCTGCTTCCTGGGTTCAAGCTATCCTGCCTCAGCCTCCCAAGTAGTTGGGATTACAGGTGCCTGCCACCACACCTGGCTAATTTTTGTATTTTTGGTAGAGACGGGGTTTCACCATTGGCCAGGCTGGTCTCAAACTCCTGACCTCAAGTGATCCACCCGTGTCAGCCTCCCAAAGTGCTGGGATTACAGGCGTGAGCCACTATGCCTGGCCATGTCCCGCCATTTAGAAGGGCTTTTTTTTTAAGAGATGGGATCTTGCTATGTTGCCCAGGCTGGTCTCGAATTCCTGGCCTCAAGTGATCCTCCCATCTTGGCCTCCCAAAGTGCTGTGATTACAGGCGTGAGCCACCATACACAGTCTAGAAGGACATTTCTGATTTTGAGGGACAAATGCAAGTGGAGTCTGGTCAGCCCTCTCTGGACCCAATCCCCATCCCCAAGGTGGCAGAGCCTATGTCTGGGTGCCTGGAAACACATTCAAGTCCTGGGAGGGCACAGGTCTGGAGACCACAGGGAAGCCCACAGTTCTCAAAGGTGGGCATTTAGGGGATGCTATTGCAGGTGTCCCCAAACAAAATAGACCCGTCCCTCTTCTGGAAGCAGAGAAATGTAGCCCTTGCCTCTTCCATCGCTGACTTTATTCCAGGGTAAAAGAGAAAAAAATTATTTTGGTCTTTTTTTTCCCCACTCTTGTGTGGCTGAAATAGAGCCTGTCCCTCTTCTGGAAGCAGAGAAATGTAGCCCTTGCCTCTTCCATTGCTGACTTTACTCCAGGGTAAAAGAGAAAAAAAAAATTATTTTGGTCTTTTTTTTTCCCCACTCTCTTGTGTGGCTGAAAGCAGCAAAGCTGAAAGCAGCAAAGCAAGCCAGCTGACATGCCAGAGCGCCTGGCGACCCAGCTTCTCTGTGGCTGTGATGGGAAAGGAAACATGCTATTAAGTTGTTGGGTTTGAAATCCCAAACCCTCAATTTCAGGAGCAGAAGGAAGGAAACAGCTTCCTTGCAGCTGCAAGGGGAGCCCTGGGCCGCCCCATCAGGATATCCCCCTCCTGCCTGGGCTTAGGGCTGGGGACTGGCCCCTGAGCTGGGACACCCAGATACTCCTGCTGGGGAAAAAGACGAATGCCTGTCATAAAGTGAGTGGAGGTGTTTATTCACCCACCCAACAGTCACTTATTGAGCACCTGCTGTGTACAGTGACAAATGTGGCAGACACATCTTTGCCCTCATTGAGGATTTGGCAGGCTGCAGAAAGGCAGGAATGACGGGAGCCATCACTGAGACACACATTGGTTACAAATGGAGAGAAGCCCTCCGCAGGGAGGAGGGGGGCTCTGAGAGGTCCTGGGGGTGGGGGGACCTGATCAGGGACTGGAGTCGAAGGAGGTGACACCTGCATGCTGAGCAGGAGTGAGCCCGATGGGTGGATGGCGTGGGAGGCTTCCAGGTAGAGGGGCTTCGTTTGCCAAGGACCTGCAGCATTGGAGGAATTGAGAAGGGCGCACGTGGATCGGGTATGGGTGTTGCCAGCAGGCAATTGGCAAGAGAAGAGGCCAGGGAAGGTCATCCACGGGTCATGGGCTGCCTTTGAAAGCTCTAAGTGTGTGGGTGGGAGATCAGATTTGTGGAGGGACTTGGTGGCAGCAGTGAGGCCACACTGGAGTAGGTGGTGAGGCTCAGGGGTTGTAGTCTCTGCAGGTAGGATCGGCATCCAGGAAGCTCCTGGGATCCCTTTCTTGGGTGGTTTGAGATGGCCAAGGTGCTTGATATATTAATAGTTAATTGAGGTCCCTTCTTACATGGGATGGCACAACCAAGGGAGAGAATACAGGGTTATTCAGGGCCCAAGGAAGCCATGAATGACAGGACAGAGTGGAGCCAAGGGAAAGTGGTCCCAGGAGTCAGGGAGCTTCACTTTCATTCCCATGCACCGCAGGCCAGCCGTGTGCTAAGCGCCCTTCATACTTCACTCACGTCATGCTCCCATTGTTGCTCTGGGGTAGAAAATGTGGCCCACCCCACTTTCCCCGAGAGGACGCTGAAGCTTCCAGCATTGAGAGATGTGTCCAAGGTCCAGGCAGATGGGGGAGTTGGGAGCTGAGCCCAGGACTGGCCGCCCCACGGCACGGACTCTGCAGTCTTTGCCAGGGTGAGGATTTAGAATGAAGCAGCTTCTCTGAATTCTCAGCAATTTTCCTTGTGACCTGGTTCCCCTAAGAAGCAACACTCCCTGTGAACTGGCAGATTCAGGGCCCCAGGGATGAGTTTTCATAGAGGCTGGGGTTATTATCCTGGCATCGTAGTTTTGTGACCTTAGGTTGGTCTGTCTCTCATTTTTCTTTTGCATTGTTTCTTTTTTAAATTGAGGTGAGATTCACATAACAATCATTTTTAAGTAAATGATTCTGTGGCATTTATTTAACACATTCACAGTGTTGTACAAGTCACCACTATCTAGTTCCAGAGCATTTTCTTTTTTTTTTTTTTTCTTTTTTCTTTTTGAGATGGAGTTTCACTCTTGTTGCCCAAGCTGGACTGCAATGGTGCGATCTCGGCTCACTGCAACCTCCGCCTCCCAGGTTGAAGCGATTCTCCTACCTCAGCCTCCCAAGTGGCTGGGATTACAGGCACACACCATCATGCCCAGCTAATTTTCTGTATGTTTAGTAGAAACAGGGTTTCACTATGTTAGCCAGGCTGGTCTCGAACTCCTGACCTCAGGTGATCTGCCCGCCTCTGCCTCCCAAAGTGCTGGGATTACAGGCATGAGCCACCGTGTCCGGCCCCAGAGCATTTTCAAATGGAAACCTGGTACCCATTAGCAGTCACTCCCCATTCCCCCTCCCCTAGCCCTGGGCAACTGTGAACCTGCATTCTGTCTCTGGATTTGCCATTTCTGGACATTTCATTAGATGGGATCATATAATGTGTGATCTTGTCTGTCTGCCTTCTTTGACTTAGAATGACGATTTCATAGGAGCGGGGGTCAGAACCTCATCCTTTTCATGGCTGAATATTGGGTCTGTTCCTTGTAGCTCTGTGACTTGGTTTTACCTCACATGAGCTCTCAGATCCCTTTAGTTCCAAAATAAAACCAAGGAAAAACAACAACAAAAACCCTACTAGAGGCTTGCACCTTTATTAAGCTTGCTGAATTTGAATATGTGTGAAAACTTCATTACAAAGCAATTTGCCATGCAATTTTCACAAGAAACCACATCATAATACTTTAATTACTGAAATAATTACCTACAGGTTGAAAGGATCAAAGGATTAATAGTCTGTTCTTGCAGAGGCCTGAACTTGTTTAATTTTAACCTGAAACTGCAGAAATTGCCAAGATAATGGCAGGTTAATTTTCAGAGGCCAGAATCTACTGATCTGAGAGTGTGAGCGGCAAGGCCCTGGCGGGGGGGTGGGTACGGTGATGGCCTGGAATTTCCAAGGGAAGAGAAGGGTCACTCGAGGTCCTTTGGGGCTCCTCCCACTGCTGCATCTCCACTGCCATTATGGTAACCCCAACACTGTCACCTCCACCCTGCCATCAGTGCCCTCGCCAACATCATCACCAGCTGTCACCGTGACTGCCATCACCACCAGCTGCTTCCCACAGCCACCATCAGTGAGACCACCCACCCACTCCACACTGCTCCCCACCTGTCCTCTGTCAGCCCATCACAAAGCCCAGGAGGCTGTGTTTCCCATAGCAGCTCTCCTGAATTCTCCAGGACACCAGGACTCCTCTCCCCTTCACCATCTTCACCCACTATGAGCACACGAGAGCTGGGGCAGGTACCTCGCATCTCCAGGCAGAAGCTAGTTTGTAAGCACAGCAGCCGTCCCTGTAGCCAAGGAACCTGCAGTCAGCAGTCCCCAAGGTCCCTTCCAGGACTCGGACTGCCGAGGCAGGGCTGTGTTGAATTATTTATTGAGCATCTGTTCTGTGAGCACCCCAGCAACAGCAGTCCCCAGGAACAGAAAAATACAAACTTGCCTGGGCACGGTGGCTTATGCCTGTAATCCCAGCACTTTGGGAGGCCAAGGTGGGTGGATCACTTGGGGTTAGGAGCTCGAGACCAGCCTGGCTAACATGGTGAAACACCATCTCTACTAAAAATACAAAAATTAGCCAGGCATGGTGGTACGTGCCTGTTATCCCAGCTACTCGGGAGGCTGAAGTGGGAGAATTGCTTGAACTCAGGAGGCAGAGGTTGCAGTGAGGCGAGATCATGCCACTGTACTCCAGCCTCGGTGACAAAACAAGACTCTGTCTCAAAAAAAAAAAAAAAAACTGATTATTTGTTGCCATCTAGGTATGGGCAGTTTGGTTTGAGAGGTGGTATTTGGGAAACAGTGACCAAAGGTCAGAAAATGAGCCAGAGATGTTCTGGGAGGGCAGGGAAGGTGGGCAGCGCCTAGAGGCAGAGCAGGCCAGGAGGGTGGCGGGAAGGAGGCTGGCAGCTTCTATCAGAGAGGAGCTGGCCCTGCACAGCCTCCATCCTGGTGGGGCCTCTGGCGAGCTATAGCAGTAGCCTCCCATCCTTAATGGCTTTGCCCAGTGGTTTCACCCACGTGCTTCCAAGCCAGCTCTTAATGATGGGAGAGGGAGGGCCTCTGTGGGGGTCTCATGATCTCTGGCACCTTCCCTCGGCCCACAGGTCATCATCATCTGCTTGGTGGTTCTGGATGCCCTCCTGGTGCTTGCTGAGCTCATCCTGGACCTGAAGATCATCCAGCCCGACAAGAATAACTATGCTGCCATGGTAGGGGTTGACAGCTCTTCTGGGGTCTTACTGATATGTTTTGCTTGTGTTATCTGCACAGACGGGGTGCAGAGTGGAGCAGCTGACACCCCACTTGGAGTAGCAAGGTCTGTGGTAGTTTGATAGGTGTTTTCGTCTTCCTTTCCAGAATATGGATTAGCATTTACTACAAGCAGGAAACGTTGTTTCACATGATGGCTGGAATCCTGGGCGATGCTAGGCTAGTGAGCTGGAGCATGTGGGGTGGATCCACTCTGCCATCTCTGGGTCAGGAGGGGCATTCCTCCTGTCTTCTGTTGATGGTCTGCATGGTCCCCTTGCTGGGCCATCAGGGGATCTGCTGTTTATTCACTGATTCAGTTACTGAGCCCATCCCAGATGTTCACCCAAAGGGTGGTGGACATACCCTGTCTCAGTTCCAAGGGCGGAGATCAAGAGAGTTAAAATCATCCCTGGTTGGGCATGGTGGCTCACACCTTTAGTCTCTGCACTTTGGGAGGACAAGGCGGGTGGATCACCTGAGGTCAGGAGTTCGAGACCAGCCTGGCCAACATAATGAAACCAAATCTCTACTAAAAGTACAAAAAAGTAGCTGGGCGTGGTGGCATGCGCCTGTAATCCCAGCTACTCAGGAGGCTGAGGCAGGAGAATCGCTTGAACCCCAGAGGCGGAGGCTGCAGTGAGCCGAGATAGCGCCACTGCACTCCAGCCCGGGCAACAAGAGCAAAACTCCGTCTCCAGGAAAAAAAAAAAAAAAAAAAAGCATTTCCCCCCCATCCCCCGCCATGCCCTTTTTTGGAAAAACAAAATGGAATTGATATGCAAATGTATGTCTTTGCAAGTGGTGAAAACGGCAGAATATGAAACTTCCTCCTTCTTCCTGATACCTTTCCCAGAGGCAGCCCTGTGACATCTCCTATGCCAGCATAGGAGGAGAATCTTCCCTGTCCATCTGTTTTCTCCTAAATAATTGTTTTCATGTTTCTCAGAGACTGGGTCTTGAACCCCAGGGCTCAAGTGATCCACCCACCTCTGCCTCCCAAAGTGCTGGGATTACAGGCGTGCGACACTGCACTTGGCTCTCTTCCTCTATTTTTAATAGAATCCATTAACATACCTGCCATACTTATTGTCTTTTTTTCTCTCAACTTTTTATGAAAAATGGCAAAGACACATTTTGCTGTGTTTGCTTTGTCACTATACATCCCCACGGACGCACACACGCTTCCGTCTGGCCATTTGACTTCACAACCCTTCACTCCTAAATACTTCAACGTGCCTAATAAGGTTTTTCTCCCATGGAGCCATAAGAGCACCATCAGATCTAAAATAAGATCAATAGTCCCACCTAACAACCACTTTTATTCACTCATCCCAAATGTCTCTCTTTATTTTTTTGAGACAGTCTCTATCGCCCAGGCTGGAGTGCAGTGGCACTATCTCATCTCACTGCAACGTCCGCCTCCTGAGTTCAAGCGATTCTCCTGCCTCCAGCTCCAGAGTAACTGGGATTACAGGTGCCCGCCACCACACCCAGCTAATTTTTTTATTTTTAGTAGAGATGAGATTTCACCATGTTGGCCAGGCTGGTATCGAACTCCTGACCTCAAGTGATCTGCCCACTTCGGCCTCCCAAAGTGCTGGGATTACAGGCAAGAGCCACCGTGTCCAGCCCAAGAATGTCTTTAATGGCAGTTTTTTTCAAACTAGGATAGAGAATTCCAATATTCTATTTGGTTATGTCTCCTTGGAATTTTTAATTTTTTTTTTTACTTGAGACAGAGTCTTGCCCTGTCACCCAGGCTGGAGTGCAGGAGCACTTAACAGCTCACTGTAGTCTTGATCTCATGGGCTCAAGCCTTCCTCCCGCCTCAGCCTCCTGAGTAGCTAGAACCACAGACATGCACCACCACACCCAGCTAATTTTTAAATTTTTTGTAGAGACAGGGTTTCCTTGTGTTGCCCAGGCTGGTCTTGAACTCCCAGGCTCAAACAATCCTCCTGTCTTGGCCTCCCAAAGTGCTGGGATTACAGGTGTGAGCCACTGCACCCGGCCTCCCTGGGCTTTCTTAATCTAGAGAAATCCTCCTGCTTTTCTTTTTCCTTCATGACAATGACTCTTGGAAGAGCCCAGCCAGTAGAATGTCCCATGTTCTGGATTTGTCTGATGATTTTGAGGTCTCCTGCCTTGTTTCTTCATTTCCTGCACACCACGGTTAGGTCCAGGGCTTGATCAGCAGGGAGTCTTCATTGGCTGGCGATGTTCTGGATGTGGCATTTTCAGGAGGCACACCACGCCAGGGGTCCCACTCAGTTGGGTCACTTGCTGGACTGCTCCACTGGCCAGGGGCATTTTTCCCGTTGCAGTGGTAAATGATCTGCCTGGTACTGCTTTGGTAGCATGCAAATATCCTCTTCCCCAGTTGGCATCTGTTGGTGAAACTTGCCTGAGTCAGTGACTACACTAGGGAATGCAAAATGGTGATTTTCTGTCTTTCCTTCTACATTTAGTAGTAGGTACTCTTCTATAAAAAAGCACTTCCCTGTTTTCCCATGTGTGTATGTATGTGTGCATGGGTGTATGTGCCGCACTGTGAATTTTTTTATTCACTGTGTTACAATCAATCTTAGTCATTCTTTTCAATGTTCAGATTGTCCCAAATGTTGTCACTGTGAGCCTCTTCAAGTTGACTGCTGGGTCCTGTTGACATGACTCTGTGATGTCTTTGAAGACTTCCTTGCTGGCAAAAGACGTCCTTGCCCACATTGTACCTCCCCTGCCTCAGATCTGGAAATGGTTATCTTGGTGTGAGGACTGGTTATTTTATTTTATATTTTTATTTTTTGAGACAGTCTCACTTGTCACCCAGGCTGGAGTGCAGTGGTGCAATCTCGGCTCACTGCAACCTCTCCTCCGTGTTCAAGCAATTCTCCTGCCTCAGCCTCCCAAATAGCTGGGACTACAGGCATGCACCACCATGCCTAACTTTTTGTATTTTTTTAGTACAGACAGGTTTTCACCATGTTGGCCAACGTGGTCTCAAACTCCGGGCCTCAGGTGATCTGCCCGCCTTGGCCTCCCAAAGTGCTGGGATTACAGGCATGAGCCACTGTGCCCAGCCAGGACTAGATCAAGATCTTGGAACCCTTTTCACTTTACACCACCTTGGTGATCACTCCTAATTGGAACATATGGATCTGCCTCCATTCATTCATTCATTCAGTTATTTTAGAGATGGGGTCTTGCTATGTTGCCCAGACTGGCCTCAAACTGGGCTCTTGGCAGGAGGCCCCACCTAGCCTCCTGAGTAACTGGGACTATTGGCTCGAGCCACCACACCCAGCTTAATCTTTTTAACAAGTGTGTCCTTAGGGCCCCATATGGAGGTGTCACCATTCATTTCAAGAGTAACTTCTAATGGACATTTCTGTCTAATGGACATTTCTGTTGTCTTACAATGCAGAAAGTATTTGTTCTGCAAACAGTGCTGCAGTAAATATCCTTAGTCCCTGTGCACACAGGAGCTCAGCTGTAGGGTAAGTTCTTAGCCATGGAATTGCTGGTCCAAAGGGTCTAGAGGATGCTTTAATTCTGACATTGCCTAATTGCCCTTTAGAGAGCAGGTGCCTCATCTGTGGTGTTCACAGCTGTGTTTCCAGCACTGGGCATCTGGATTTGTCCACCAGAGGAATTCTCTTGCTGGTGACCAGGCAGGTGCATGTGAGGGCAGCTTGACCTCCCAGAGGCCCAATCTCCCCTGACTGTGGTTCCTTGTCCCCTTCAGGTATTCCACTACATGAGCATCACCATCTTGGTCTTTTTTATGATGGAGATCATCTTTAAATTATTTGTCTTCCGCCTGGAGTTCTTTCACCACAAGTTTGAGATCCTGGATGCCGTCGTGGTGGTGGTCTCATTCATCCTCGACATTGTCCTCCTGTTCCAGGAGCACCAGTTTGAGGCTCTGGGCCTGCTGATTCTGCTCCGGCTGTGGCGGGTGGCCCGGATCATCAATGGTACGTCTCCTGCACTCCCAGGCTGTGGATGGAGAGTAGGGGCCCAGGCATACATCCAAGGCCTGACTGCGCAGTCACTCTGGGTGCCTGAGCTCACAGTGGCTCCTGTTATGGAGGCCTCCCCTCTGCCCCCTCACCTCCCTCTCCTCCCTTCTTCCTCTTCAGCCCTTTAGGAGCTGGTTATAAGCAGGTTTACGTCAAGCAAATAAAATGAAACAGGTTGGGTGCAGTGGTCATGCCTGTAATCCCAGCACTTTGGGAGGCTGAGTCAGGAGGATCACTTGAGCCCAGGAGTTCGAGACCAACCTGGGCAACATGGTGAAACCCCCATCTCTACAAAACAAAAAATACAAACATCAGTTGGGTGTGGTGGTGCACACATGTAGTCCCAGCCACTGGGGAGGCTGAGGTGGGAGGATTGCTTGAGCCCAGGATTTGGAGGCTGCAATAAGCCAAGATTGTGCACTGCACTCTAGCCTGGGTGACAGAGCCAGACCCCATCTCAAAAAAAAAAAAAAAAACTGGACTCTTGTCAAAGGAAAGAAAAAAAAGCCTTTCAGTTCCTACAGAAGATGCCTGTTATGGGGAAAGGGGGCATTTCCCAGCCTGTGCTTTCGTGGCATCTATGGACACCGCTGTTGTGCACCCACATGATTGTGAACAGGTTCTAGGTTAAGAATCCTAATGCTCATCTTGTCAGTGATTATTTTTAAGGATTTCTCAGCCATGCCAGCTAAAGAGAGATACTGTGTAACTGGGTACTAAGTAGCTCAGACACAAAACCCTGACCTCCCAGTTCTGATGCCCTAAAGTGATGACTGTCTCGCGTGTCTGTCACCACTCCTCCAAACTCTATACAGGTGTAAGAATACAGATTTTTTTCCTGAGTGGTTAAGTTAGAAACCAGTATCACTGAGACCCCCAATTTTATTTCAGGGATTATCATCTCAGTTAAGACACGTTCAGAACGGCAACTCTTAAGGTTAAAACAGATGAATGTACAATTGGCCGCCAAGATTCAACACCTTGAGTTCAGCTGCTCTGAGAAGGTAAGAAAGACGACACATCTGGGGACCAGGCGTGGTGGCTCATGCCTGTAATCCTAGCACTTTGGGAGGCCAAGGCAGGTGGAGCACCTGAGGTCCGGAGTTCGAGACCAGCCTGACCAACATGGAGAAACCCTGTCTCTGCTAAAAATACAAAATTAGCTGTGCATGGTGGCACATGCCTGCAATCCTAGCTACTCAGGAGGCTGAGGCAGGAGAATTGCTTGAACCCGGGAGGTGGAGGTTGTGGTGAGCCAAGATCGCGCCATTGCACTCCAGCCTGAGCAACAAGAGCAAAACTCTGTCTCAAAAAAAAAAGATATCTGGGAAGCTGGCCTCTGCCGCAGCACCCGCCTGCAGCAGAGCGCTGCTCATGCACCTAGAGCGCCCTTCCCTGGGCTGAGCCTGCCTTGTCCTTTCAGATCCAGCCCAGGCGTCACATCCTCCCTGAAGCTGTGCCCACCCCCACATCCCAGGGCTCTGCCAGGTCCCCCACGTTTGTCTTCTCACTGCTGTCACTGCTGCTCAGTGAAGCCTATCTGATTGTAGCAGTCTCCTCAGCAGACTGAATGCCACAAACAGCGTAGCTTTCATTCATCTCTGTGGTCCTGTGCCTGGGGCTCACTGAATGATTGATTGTCACATCCCTGGCGAGGCTCAAAGTAAATTCCAGTGTTTGTCTGCTTTTGCAATAGGAACAAGAAATTGAAAGACTTAACAAACTATTGCGACAGCATGGACTTCTTGGTGAAGTGAACTAGACCCGGACCAGCTCCCCTCAAAAAGAAGACACTGTCTCATGGGCCTGTGCTGTCACGAGAGGAACAGCTGCCCCTCCTGGGCCGCTTGGTGAGAGGTTTGGTTTGATACCTCTGCCTCCCTCCTGCCAGCATGGATTCTGGGTGGACACAGCCTTGTGGAAGGTCCAGTACCACCAAGAGCTGCCCATCCACTCCCACCCCACACTGTATCAAATGTATCACATTTTCTCATGTTGAACACTTTAGCCTTAATTGAAAATGAGCAACAAAGCTGGACAATTGCTAGTTGTATATAAAATTTAATCTCACCGAATGTACAGTTTTCAAATTTCACGTGTATATTAAGGAACTGATGCATCTGAGCATTCTGAAAGAAAGAAAAAGAAGCTACTTTAGCTGCCACCCCATTCTAGAAAAGTCTCTTATTTTCAAGCTGTTCTAAATAGCTTCGTCTCAGTTTCCCCAAAAGGGGTACCCAGGCCCCTCCTCTGTGTGCCCCAGCTGCATCAGCCAGCTTCTAGGTGGCTCCATTGTTTTCTGCCACCTGACAACATTTTTCCTCAATTACTGTACAACTACTGTATAAAATAAAACAACTACTGTATAAAATAAACTCTCTCTTTTCCCTGGACCCTCCTACTGTATTCTTTCCTCTGTGGCACCCATACCAGCCTGCCAGTCGGAGAGCAAGCTAGCTACAGTGCCTGGTGCAGAAATGGCAATTAGACCCAAGACTCCACTATAATTAACAAGGTATTTGGGGGAAGATCCCCTTGTAAGGGCTGTGTGCTCTTCTCGCATGATTTTATCTAATATTTTGCTATTTTTTTGTACTCATTTCAACCGGACCCAAAAAGGAAAAAACCTGAACTGAGTATTTTTAAAATAAATAACTCAAAGCAGGGGATGAATGAACTGGCCAAATCCCCCTTGCCTCTGCTGCTTCAAGTCCTGTTCATGTTCTTTACCATCTCCCCAAAGACTTTTTGGGTTCTATCATCTATGACCTATGTGTTAAGCATATTCCCCATTCAAAAGTCAGATAGAATAACATTTCCAAAAGGAAAAAAGGCAGGAAGGGAGTGGAGAAGGGCAGTGTGCTGGTTTGGAGGCAACCTCAAAGGTTAGAAGTATAATAAGGCTAGGCATGGTGGCTCACACCTGTAATCCCAGCACTTTCAGAGGCCGAGGCAGGAGGAGCACCTGAGCCCAGGAGTTTGAGACCAGCCTGGTCAACACAGCAAGACCCCATCTCTACAAACTATATTAAAATTAGCCAGGTGTTGTGGTGTGCACCTGTAGTCCCAGCTATTAGGAGGCTGAGGTGGGTGGATTGCTTGAGCCCAGGAGGTCAAGGCTGCAGTGAGCCATGATCACACCACTGCACTCCAGCCTGGGCAACAAAGCGAGACCCTCAAAAAGTATAAAATGCAGTATCCCCTAGGGACTTCTAGCCCCACGTGCACACTTTCCAAAGGGGATGACCTCAGAGGAGGGGCGTAGTTTCCTCACTTACGTCAAACAAACGGGAAGAAGAAGTTAAAGGGCAGCCTGGCATTGATGGCTGGTGGAGCTCTGAAGCCTGCCTCTGCAGGTGCAGACACATCCACAAAAGTAACCGCAGTGGAAATAAGAATCGTCCTTTCATTTCCTGAGTTGGCCTGTAATAAACAGAGAGATGCAAGGCCCACCCTCCAGTGTGCTCCCAGAATGACAACAATGAGACACTTTTCATTCTCTTCCTCACCCAACTACTGTCAGTTCATGAATCTGATAGGTCCTGGAGCACTAATTGGCCATTAACTTGGATGAGAGAAACAATTTTACCAGGGTGTCTGATTAACACGTGAATATCATAATTTTCATGAGAATTTTAAAGATCCAATCTGAACCAGAATGCTAATGTAAGTAGAACCATCGTCAGTGTTTCTAAGAATGACTGCTGAAATATTTTATGAACCCCCATGGTTTAAATTATAATCTTTTTCACAAAGTAATACCTGTCACCTACCACACTTGAGTTGTGTCTAGACTTCTGTCTTAACCTATGCCTTTAAACTAGGTTAGGCCTACCTCAGGAAAGGAGGATGAAATTAGATTTGCAGTTACATTGACTATTTTGGCCTGTGGATTCAGCAGGGATCCGTATTTAGTCCACTTCACTTCTATAACCAAAGCCCCTGGGAGCTGGCAGGAATCCTGCAAAACAAAATGCTGTTAATCCATTAGAATCTTACAAAACTGCAAGTCAGACTTAATCTGCAGTTCAGAGTTTTAATTATAAAAGGTTTCACATATTACAAAATGTTCTGAACAAGAAAATGAATAGACTCTACAAGTTCAGATAAAAACAGCTTAGAGAATATACGTGTTTTAAAGTAACTCAATGCCCCAAAAATATTTTTAACAGCTGAAGCGTAATTTTTCCATCTCCTCCTATTTCTAAAAATGCCGACATCACCTGAAACTGCGGTAGTGCCAATACCCAACTGTGGACCATTTAGGGCCATAACTGCTCTAACTTCATCTACCTGTTTATAGCGGCCTCACAGACTTCAGGAAAGAAACTGGTGGGAGGGATGGAGGGGGAGAAATAATTATTAGCAGACAAAACCTGATTGCATGTCATGTTAAAATGCTCTAAGGGGAAATTTAAGTGCTTTCTTTTCATTTACCTAATTTCATCAATTGGCAATTAAGATGTGACATCTAGGTAATCCAGGCAGTGTCCGTATGTTGTCAAAGACATCAACTCTTCAACTGCATCAGGAACACTGCTGGTGCCACGAAGGAGCTGAGCTGCCCCTTTGGTTGGCTGCTTTGGCAGCCAGCTCTAAGGCCTCTGACCCAAGGGAAAAAGGGGCCGTGGGCTTTCCAGGGCTTTTTCCTGCCTTGGCAGTCTCTCCGGTTGGCAAATGTGGTAACTGTTGAAGCTGCAGGCTGGGTACGTGGGGACTCCATGGTACTATTCTACTTTTGTGTGTGTCTGACATTTTTTCATTAAAAAAAAAAAGCTTTAAAATACATCTCTTCAGGATATGAAAACCTCACAGGCCTGCTAAATTTGGTGGCTGCGAAAAAAGCACTGATGGAATTCCTTAGCTTGGAACCGCCTTTAAAAACCATGCAGACTGAACAATCCTCTCGAATACCCTGTTCTTAGGAGACAATGCAGCATGCAGCTGGTGGAAACTGAGTTTAGCAGGTGCTCGTGCCTGCCTCTACCTGGGTTGCCGGCAGAGTTGGTACAAAACCTGCTGCTGCAGGCCCTCTGAGCACCCAGGATCAGCACAGACCCTGACGGTGCCATGTGCGCACTGCTGCCTCTCCTCCCAACCCATGTCTTCCCTTCTGAGGAGGAGTAATAACTGCACATCTTCACCCATGGCCAAGAAGCCAGAAGCGATGTGCCTGGTTCTGGTGGGAGAGTTGAGTCAAGACTTCGCAGTGGAACGGCAGGGACTGAGTAATCCCGGGTCTCTGCTGGCCTCGGTGGGAGGGCGGATCAGAGAAGTGAGCAGTCCTCACCCCCGTTATGCCCATGCTAGAAATATTCGGAGCGGATAATGAGAGGTCTGAAGAAAGCGTGACAAGAACAAGCTGGGCAATTACAGGCTAAGATGGAGAGCACGCCCCTGGGCCAGGGCCGGCCCACACGCTGACTGCTAAGACAAAAGAAAAAGGTGGGCAGAAGCATCATGTGTGACCGGGAACCTATCTGTAGGATTGTCAACTTCCATTCAACTCTGTGAGGAACTGTGGCAGTGAAAACTCTCAGGTGTGGGCTGCCTGTGTAGAACAGGGGACAATGGGTGGGAGAGCCACATGCACGGAAGTCAGTCTCAGTCTTTGATACAGGACTCAACATTCGTCTATCGTGTCATGAGATGCCTGGAGAGGGCTCGGGGGACACCAGCAATCACAATGATGGTAGCAACAGGATGAGGATCACAGAGGTTCCCATTTATGGACCACTAGGCACCATGCCCAGGGCCACATAAATGTTACCTCACTTAACCCTCTCAATGCCCCATGAGGCCATTCACTCACTATTGACTAGCGTTCCCATTTCACAGATGAAAACAGAGGCTCAAAGCCATAAAACTGCTGGCCAGAGGCAACATTGCTAACAAGGGGCAAAAATCAGTATCCAAGATTCAGCCCGCGCTCCCACTCAGGGCCATCCTGCCTCCTTAACAGCTGGCTTCCCCGGCTGCCTTCATCACACCACCTGGAAGACAGAGACCACTAGCATGGAACCTGTACCTTCTCCCCTTTACCTTCCTGTTGAATGACTGGGTGATGAAGTGGATGGGCACCCAGTCCAGCATGTCCTGGGCCTGGGAATTTCCAAAAGGGGCCACGTAATCTGGGAAGCCCTGGCCCCACAGCAGGCTCTTCACCTTCTGTGCTACGAGCTGACACGGGAGAGCTCCAGTCAGTCTTGGTGAAGGAAAAAGAAGTCAACTGAATGAGGCTGTTGTTCATCCACCAGCAGTTTTTCATTTTCTTCTTCCTTTCCTTCCCTTTGTTTATTTATTTTTGAGATAAGGTCTCACTCTGATGCCCAAGCTGGAGTGCAGTGGCACCATCATAGCTCCCTGCAGCCTCAAACTCCTGGGCTCATGCAATCCTCCCAGAGTGCTGGGACTACAGGAGTGAGCCACCACACCCAGCCCACCAGCAGTTTTTTGTTTTTTAAGTTTTGATTTTTGGTTTTTTTGTTTTGTTTTGAGATGGAGTTTGCTCTGTTGCCCAGGCTGGAGTACAGTGAGGCAATCTTGGCTCACTGCAACCACCGCCTCCCAGGTTCAAGTGATTCTCCTGCCTCAGCCTCCTGAGTAGCTGGGACTACAGGTGCCCACCACCATGCCTGGCTAATTTTTTTGTATTTTTAGTAGAGACGGGGTTTCACCATGTTGGCCAGGCTGGTCTCGAACTCCCAACCTCAGGTGATCTGCCCACATCAGCCTCCCGAAGTGCTGGGATTACAGGCGTGAGCCACTGCTCTCAGCCCCACGAGCAGTTCCATTCCTTCCCAGTTTCATTATCTTCTCATTCTCCAAATGAGGGATTATCTGACAGAAGCTAAAGAGTCTCTAACTTTGCAAAATCTTTACCTGTGAGATGATGAGTCTAAAACAGTGTTTCCCAAACTGTGTTCCACTGAAGATCTGTACAAGAAGGGTTTCATGGCCAAAGTTGGGGAAGCATTGAACCTCCACATCCCCATGTCCCTCCTGAGGCACATTTGCCTATTAAAGGCTCTGATGAGTAATACAGGAAGGAACCATTGTTTTAACTTTAATTTGGTGTTTCCCAAACGTATTGGACCACAGACCTACCCCTACTGATGTCTTGTGGAAATGTATTCCATGGAACCCTCTCCCTTTGAGAAATGCTGGTCTAAATGGATCAGAACTAATAATGTAAATGGTGGCTGGATGTGCTGGCTCACACCTGTAATCCCAACATGTTGGGAGGCTGAAGCAAGAGGAGCACTTGAGCCCAGGAGTTCGAGACCAGCCTGGGAAACAAAGGGAGACCCTGTCTCTACCAAAATTTTAAAAATTAGCCAGGTGTGATGGTACCCGCATGTGGTCCCAGCTATTAGGAGGCTGAAGCAGGAGGATTGCTTGAGCCTGTAGGCCAAGGCTGCAGTGAGCCTGATCACGCCACTGCACTCCAGCCTGGGCAACAGGGGGAGACCCTGTCTCAAAAAATAATATAAGTAAATGGTAAATATTGGTCTAACCAAAATAATGATCCAATGACCCTGGGAAGATGTGGGAAGTGTGTGGGTCATGAGGTAGGGGATGAAGGGGAAAGAGCCAAACCTTTGTCTTCCTTAATGGAAACAATAAAAAATTCATAAAACCAAAAAAATCAAGAAGTAGCATTATATGCAGGTTATTTCAAGATTTGGGGGTAGAATTTGAAAAAAACAGCTACAAGAGTTGAAAGTGGTTGCCTCCAAGGTGGGGCAAATGAGGGTAAGAACTATTTT
The DNA here is from genome assembly GCF_000001405.40 of Homo sapiens. Taxonomy (NCBI): domain Eukaryota; kingdom Metazoa; phylum Chordata; class Mammalia; order Primates; family Hominidae; genus Homo; species Homo sapiens. The sequence continues at coordinate 110,643,402 of NC_000012.12, read as the reverse complement.
TATAACAAGCTGCGCAGCGCTGTTTGATATTTTACATTATGTACATATTTGATAAGATAAAAACAGATCATATTCAGGCTTCCTCTCACTGGTTTTGATGTGCTGTGTATATTAAAATTGAGAAACACAGGAAATATTGTCAGGGGAAATATTTTTGCTGTGAACTCAAATGCTAAACAACCTTAAAAATGAAACATACAGGCCAGGCACAGTGGCTCACACCTGTAATCCCAGCACTTTAGGAGGCTGAGATGGGAGGACTGCTTGAGCCCAGGAGTTCAACATCAGCCTGGGCAACATAGTGAGATCCTGTCTCTACAAAAAAAAAAAAAAATTCAAAAATATTAGGCCAGGCATGGTGGCTCACACCTGTAATCCCAGCACCTTGGGAGGCCAAGGCAGGCAGATCACCTGAGGTCAGGAGTTTGAGACCAGCCTGGCCAACATGGTGAAACCCCGTCTCTACTAAAAATACAAAATTTAGCTGGGCATGTTGCCACATGCCTGTAGTCCCAGCTACTCAGGAGGCTGAGGCAGGAGAATTGCTTGAACCCAGAGGCAGAGGTTGCAGTGAGTTGAGATTATACCACTGCACTCCAGACTGGGTGACAGAGGGAGACTTTGTCTCAAAAAAAAAAAAAGCCGGATGTGGTGGTGCATGCCTGTAGTCCCAACTACTTGGGAGACTGAGGCGGGATCCCTTGAGCCCAGGAGGTCAGGGCTGCAGTGAGCTATAATGGCACCACTGTACTCCAGCCTAGGAGACAGAGCGAGACCCCATCTCTTAAAAAAAGAAAAAGAAACATACAAAGCCTTGAAATTTTTGCTTTGCCGTATTTAATAACAAAAATGATTGTAACAGTTTTGCTACTATTCATGCATGATGATATACTATATGTGGCTTTCATGTGAGCTCATCAGCTGATGCAGAGATTTGATTAAAATGGGGAAAAGTGAGAATGCTTTGTTTTCTGATCAGCACAAGTTCAAACAGAAACAAGTGACTCTTTTACCTTAGTTTACAGCCAGATTGCATAGTGTAACCAAATAATACTGGGGTCCGGACCCCCTCCAGTGCTAAGCAGTCTTGCTCAGTTGTGCTATGAAGAATAGTAAGCTGTCCATATCTATTTGTGGTCTGAATAATCCCAGACATTCACAGACAGTTAAGGGACAACTGCCTAGTGCTAGAGCAGCCTGGTTCTCAGGTAAGAAGACAGTGTCACTTGTGTGACATGAGGGAGACCCAAATACACTTTTTCTGGGCCTCTGGGATTTTGACAGCTATTTCCCAGGAGCAGGCAAAAAAACAGTTCTATTTTCCTTAATAAATGGATTCTCAGAAGAAAAATTCTCAGAAACTGGCCCTTTGAAATTCTAAATTTTCAAAATCACTACATCTGTTTAGGAGTGTCTGTTTAAATGTGAAATTAAAAACATTTAAATGTCAACTTTT